>NC_000006.12:93662341-93813280 GCF_000001405.40 Homo sapiens
CATAGAGCGAAAGATGGTCCACTGTAAGCAAGCTAGAGACACCTGATCTCCCTTGGTTTAATGTAGATGAAGTGATCCAAAGACTTAGGGAGATTGAAATGCTAGAGTAGCCTTGTCACTGAATACCTACTCACCTCAACTGGGAGAGTCCAGAAGATATAACCTTCACCAATACCTGTGACATAGATTTGTGAGGCAAGTACCAGCATCCTTGAAGAGTTCTGTGATAGTTCCTTTTCATATGCCAGATCTTACAGTGAAAACGGCAGCCACTCAATTGGAAAACTTAAATGCAATGGGAATAATTGGCTCCCAGGTGGAACAACTAAATGGCAGCACTCAATCATGAAAGGCAAGGTGGGCATAGTTACCATAATTAACAGCAGAGGCAAAGTGGCAATCAGAATAGTCTGACTTGTATAGAGTTCTGGCAGTGGCTAATTAATCCTGGTGTTCCTAGAAGTGAAATTAATAGGAAGCCTACTGCATTCTTACTTGATTTGCATAAGCAGAAAACTTCCAGGTCGAGTGGACAAAGTAAAATTTGAGTTATAAAAATAGAGAATCAAGGTCCCTCAATCAATTTCCAAACTTGAGCCAGTTTATGGGCCTGGTACCCCTTGAATGAAGGGAAGGCCACGTTCCCTTGAGGGAGAACCCCACTACACTCCTGAAAATCTATACTGTTAATCTTTCTCCCATCCTTCCCCAAAGAGACCTCTGGCTTTTTACCAGGGTAACTGTGCATTAGGGAAAGGGGAATGATCAGACCTTTTGAGGACTCCTGGGCACTTACTCTGATATGAAATCGATTTCCAGGGACTTAAAATGTAATTGTGGCCCTCCAATTAGAGTAGGGGCTTTTGAAGGTAAGGTAGTTAACAGAGTTTTAGCTCAAGTCTGACTCACAGTGGGTCCAGTGGGTTCCTGGACACATTCTGTGGTTATTTCCCCAGTGCCAGAGTGCATAACTGGGATAGACATACTTTGCAGCTGGCAGAATCCCCACATTGGTTCCCTGACCTGTGGGGTGAGGGCTATTATGGTGGGAAAGGCCAACTAGATGCCATTAGAGCTGCCTGTACCAAATAAAATAGTAAATAAAACCAATATTATATCTCTGGAGGGGTTTCAGAGATTAGTGTCATGATCAAGGACTTGAAAGAGGCAGGGGTGGTGATCCCCAACACATCCCCATTCAACTCTCCTATTTGGCCTGTGCAGAAGACAGATGGATCTTAGATAATAATATGGATTATTGTAAGCTTAACCAAGTGATGACTCCAGTTGCAGCTGCTGTATCAGATGTGGTTTCATTGCTTGAGCAAATGAAGACATCTCCTGGTAACTTGTACGTAGCTATTGATTTGATAAATACCTTTTTCTCCATTCCTGTCCATAATGCCCACCAGAAATAACTTGTCTTCAGCTGGCAAGTTCAGCAATATACCTTAACTGTCCTACCTCAGGGGTATATCAGTTCTCTGGCTTTGTGTCATAATCTTGTTTGCAGAGATCTTGATTGCTTTTCCATTCCACAAGATATTATACTGGTCCATTGCATTGATGACATTATGCTGATTGGACCCAGGGAGCAAGAAGTAGCAACCACTTTAGACTTATTAGTGAGATGTTTGTCATGTCAGGAGATGGGAAATAAATTTGACTAAAACTCAGGATCCTTCTATCTCAGTGAAATATTGAAGAGTTTATTGATGTGGGGCCTGTTGAGATATTCATTTGAAAGTAAAGGATAAGTTACTGCGTTTGGCTCTTCCTACAATCAAGAAAGTTGCACAATGCCTAGTGCGCCTATTCGGATTTTAGAGGCAACACATTCCTCATTCAGTTGTGTTACTCTGACTCATTTATTAAGTGATCCAAAAGGTTTCTAGTCTTGAGTGGGTTCCAGAACAGGAAAAAGTTCTGCAACAGGTCCAGCCTGCTATGCAAGCTGGTCTGCCACTTGGGCCAGATGACCCAGCAGATCCAATGGTGTTTGAGGTATCCGTGACAGAGAGGGATGATGATTGGAGCCTTTGGCAGGTCCCCACAGATGAATGACAGTTGGAGCAAGGCCCTACTATCTTCTGCAAATATCTATTCTCTTGAGAGACAGCTTTTAACCTGTTACTGGGCCTTGGTAAAAACTGAACCTTTGACTGTGGGTCGCCAAGTGTATTAGTTAATTCTCACATTGCTGTAGAGAAATATAATACTTGAGACTGGGTAATTTATAAAGAAAGGATATTTAATTGGTTTACAGTTCTGCAGGCTGTAAAGAAAGGATAGCTGCATCTGCTTCTGGGAGGCCTCAGTGAAGGGGTAGCAGGTATGTCACATGGTGAGAGGGGGAGAGAGAGAGAGAGAGAGGGAGAGAGAGAGAGAGAGGGAGGGAGAGAGAGAGAGAGGGAGAGAGAGAGAGAGAGAGAGAGAGAGAGAGAGAGAGAGAGACATCCACTTTTAAATGACCAGATCTCTGAAGAATTCTCTCACTCTTGCAAGTACAGCACCAAGAGGATAGTGCTAAACCACTCTTTAGAACCTGCCCCCGTGATCCAATCACCTCCCACTAGGCCCCACTTCCAGGACTGAGGATTACAATTCAACATGAGATTTGGATGGGAACATAGATTCAAACCATATCACCAAGTTACCACATGACCTAAACTGACTATCATGAATTGATTGCTTTCTGACTCATCTACCCATAAGGGTGGGCATATGCTGCAGCATTTCATCATCAAATGGATGTGGTACATATGGGATTGGGCTCTAGCAGATTCTGATGGCACAAGTAAGTTACATGAGGAAGTAGCCCAAATGCCCATGGTCCCCACTTCTACCACCCTACCATGTCTCTCTCAGCCTGCATGTATGACCTCATGGAGAGTTTCCTATGATCAGTTGACAGAGGAAGAAAAGACTAGGATCTAATTGACAAATGGTTCTGCATAATATGCATGCACCACCTGAAAGTGAACAGTTGCAGCACTACAGTCCCTTTCTGGGAGATTCCTGAAAAACAGTGGCAAAGGGGAATCTTCCTAGTGGGCAGAACATCAAACAGTATATCTGGTTGTGCACTTTGCTTGAAAGGAGAAATGGCCAAGTGTGCAATTATATACTGATTCATGGGCTGTAGTCAATGGTTTGGGTAGATGGCCAGGATCTTGGAAGGAGCATGATTGGAAAATTGGTGACAAAGAAATCTGGGGAAGAGGTATGTGGATGGGCCTCTCTGAGTGGTCAAAAACTGTGAAGATGTTTGTGTTCCATGTGAATACTCACCAAAGGATGGCCTCAGCAGAGTAGAATTTCAATGATCAAGTGGATAGAATGACCTGTTCTGTGAATACCACTCAGCGTCTTTCTCCAGCCATCCCTGTTATCACCCAATGGGCTCATAAACAAAGCAGACATGGTGGTAGGGATGAAGGCTGAGCATAAGCTCAGCAACATGGACTTCCACTCACCAAAGCTGACATGGCTATGGCCACTACTGTGTGTCCAATCTGCCAGCAGCAGAGATCAACACTGAGCCCTCGATATGGCACGATTCCTTGAGGTGATTAGCCAGCTACATGGTGGTAGGTTGATTACATTGGACCTCCTCCATGACGGAAGGAGCAGTAGTTTGTCCTTACTGGAATAGACACTTACTCCAGATATGGATTTCCTTTTCCTGCATGCAGTGCTTCTGCCAAGACTACCATCTGTGGAATCACAAAATGCCTTATCTACTCTCATGATATTTCACACAGCATTGTCTCTGACCAGGGAACTGACTTCACAGGCAAAGAAGTGTGGCAGTGGGCTCATGCTTATGGCATTTAGTGGTCTTACCATGTTCCCTATTATCCTGAAGCGGCTGGCTTGATAGAAGAGTGGAATGGCTTTTTGAAGTCACAATTACAATGCCGGCTAAGGCAAAGTTCTCCAGAAGGCTGTGTATGCTCTGAATCACATCCAATATATGGTACTGTATCTCCCATAGCCAGTATTTATGAGTCCAAGGATAAAGGGGTAGAAGTGGCAGTGGCACCACTCGCCATAACCCCTAGTGACCTGCCAGAAAGTTTGTGTTTCCTGTTCCCATGATATTATGTTTTTCTGGCCTAGAGGTCTTAGTTCCAGAGGGAGGAATGTTGCACCAGGAGACACAACAACGATTCCATTGAACTGGAAGTTGAGACAACTGCTACCTGGCCACTTTGGGCTCCACCTGCCTCTAAGTCAAGAGACTAAGAAAGGAGTTACAGTGCTGGTTTGGGTGACTGACCTGGACTACCAAGATGAAATCAGACTACTACTCCACAATGGAGGTAAGGAAGAGTATGTTTGGAATACAGGAGATTCATTAGGGCATCTCAGTATTACCCTGCCCTGTAGTTAAGGTCAGTGGGAAGCTACATCAACCCAATCCAGGCAAGACTACACATAGTCAAGGCTCTTCAGAAATGAAGGTTTGTGTCATGCCACCAGGCAAAAAAAACCACAACCAGCTGAGGTGCTTGCTGAAAGCAAGGGGAATACTGAATGGATAGTGGAAAAAGATAGTTACCAACACCAGCTACAACCATGTGACCAGTTACAGAAACAAAGAGTTTAATTGTCATGAGCATTTTTTCCTTATTTGGTTAAGAATATGTTGGTGGATATGCACACCAGTACTAAGAAAATATCTTCATTTTATTTCCATTTTTATTACTTTATCATATAACATAAGATTTACTGACTTCATGTCTATCAGTATTTAAATGCTGTTAATTTTATGTAATAGCATTTAGGTTAAAGGATTAGTGCACTTTTGGTTGGTTGTACGAAGGATAGTTATATTATGTTAGACATAATTATGACTTTATTATTGTCCTTATTTGGAGGTTAAGTATAATTTAAGAAGATGTGTATGGATGCCAAGTTGACAAGGAGTGAACTTGTGATGGTTAATACTAGGTGTCAGTTTGATTGCATTGAGGGATGCCTAGATGGCTGGTAAGAAATTGTTTCTGAGTGTGTTTGTGAGGATGTGGCCAGAGACAACTGACATTAAGTTGTTGGACTGGGAGAGGAGACCCTCCCTCAATGTAGGTGGGTGCCATCCATTTGGCTGTCAGTGCAGCTAGAACAAAGCAAGAGGAAGGTGTGGAAAACTTTGCTTGCTAAATCTTCTGGCTCTTTTTATTCTTTTCATGCTGGACACTTGCTTCAGCTCCTCCTGCCCTTGGACATCAGACTCCAGGTTCTTCAGCCTTTAAACTCTGGGACTTGCAACAGCAGCTTCCCAGAGACTCTTAGTCCTCTGGCTGCAGACTGAAGCTGCACTGTCAGCTTCCCTGGTTTTGAGGCTTTCAGACTTGGACTGAGGTACTACTGGCTTCTCTCTTCCCCAGCTTGCAGGGGACTCTGTCACAGGACTTTGTCTTGTAATCTTGTGAGCCAATTCACCCTAATAAACTCCTTTTTTATATACATGTATCCTAATGGTTCTGTCCCTCAGGAGAACTGTGAGTAATATATTATTTATATTTAAGGTTGCAGTTTTGAGTGAGGCCCAGAGCAAGTGAAGGCTACACAGCAGGCCTAGACTGCATTACAATTTTTTCTGGCATATGGATCTTAGGATGCAGCAGACCCAATGGTCCTGAATGGAACCGTGACAGATGCCTCCTCAGATCTCTGGCAAGTCCCAACAGGAGAATACCAGCACATTCCTCTTGAAATTCAGATTAAATGCATGCCCCTTTCTGCCATTTGAAAAGCTGCTCCTGGTGTATAACTGAGTCTTGGTAAATTCTAAATGCCTAAATATGGGAGACTAAGTGATTTTGGGTCCCAAGCTGACCAAACATGGAAAAAAGACAAAACACATACTGAGGGATAAAAGGAGGCAACTGATTATTTTATGTTTATTCTTCTAATTTAGTATTTTACTCTTTTCTACCTGTTCTGTTCCTTGAGATGCTGAAAGTATCCCCTGGGCTCTCTTGGCCTGTAGCTTCTAGTTATATTTGACCAATGACAGGAAATGAAATGGAGGAGGAGAGTATGAGATTATTTATTAATTCCCTATATTTTCTCTCTGCTGAAATGAAGTTTAGCAGTGGTGATGGTACTCTTTCGAAGGCACAGTTGCTCTTCATATGGCCACAGCGCTAATTTCGTGTAACAGCATCTCCTTCTCACCCCTTCAGACTTAAAGCTATTGTTGACTTCCCCTGTTTCTATTCCTTGGAATCTTCATCATTCTCTTCTGTTGCTCTTAGCCATCCTTATACCTCTATAAATAGTTCCTTTATTCGATTCTCAACCATTACTACTTTTGGTATGCAGACAGTTCCCCTATCGCCTAGAATAAATGACAGAGCAGAAAGAAGACCATATCAGGTCACATATGTACTTTTTAGTAAGAGATAAATAAAATCTATCTCTTTTAAAGACACTGTCACTTTGGGGTTTTCTATTATAAGCAGTCAAACATTATCCTCAATGCTATAACACCTCACTTTGATAATTCCACCTTTCATTTGTTTGGAAAGTGCTTTTCGTCATGTCTTTTTTGTTGGCATTGTCCTAGCACCCATTATGTCCCTTAGACACCTCTGCATCCTCTGAATGTCAATAGACTTGGTGCCTTTACCCCTCATTTTGAGTTAGAATCTCTAACTGTACCATTATCTTCCGTCCATGTACCATCCTCTGTTCCTCATCTAAAATTTAGCAAACATGTCCTGAACTCAGTAGTTATCAATATATGCTATTGATAAGAATGGTACTTTCCCCATTTATTTAGGAAGAATCAAACTTCACAGCCTTCTAAGTAGAGAAGACTGCAGTGGTTTAAATATTTTCATTCTGAATTCTTGCCATAAGTGTATTTTATGAGGAAATTATTTTTCTCCGACTCTGCTTGGAAAGTCAGAAGCAAGCAACATGGAAGAATATTGCTTTGGAAGAAAAGTGGAAGAATATCATTGGCAGATGCTTTAGTAGAGAGCAACTGAGGGATATGGCAAAGTCCCGGTCCCTGCTTCATCTTCCTCTATGGTCATGTCGTGGGCCAAACTTTAGAGCCTATCGCTCTCAAAGACCTACCTGGAAGGTATAATCTGTCTGTCAACATCTGCTCACTCGACTCAAATGAAATGTCCTCTTATTTAGTCCCAACTATCCCTCCAATAGCTTCAGATAACAGTTATCAGCCTTTCACTGAGTAGTGATTTTGTATATGTGTGTGTGTGTCTGACTGGCACATATCTTATGAGATTAGAAGCACTAGAAGGGTCAAAACTTATCTTGGGTATTTTTGTCTCCTTAGCAACTAGAACATGCCTGGCTCATAGCAGAAAGTCAAAGAAATAAATCCAAACAAATAATATATATTTGTTGAATATATTCAAGACCTCATTCAAAATCCTTCAATTCTTCATCACCTTCAAACCTGCCATAGTGTTAACTCCCTCTGTGATTCCATAGTAATTTATATATGATTCTCTTACAGCATTTTCATGTAACTTCATAATTATATATGTATTTCCCAGTAGCCTATGTAATTATCAAGCACAGTAGCTATACAGCTGAATGTTTAAACCTCCAGCTTTGAATCACAATTCGGCTGCTACATAGCTACCTCATCTTAGTTAAGTTGCTTAACTTTTCTAAGATAGTTTCCTTGTTAATAAAATATATATAATTTATTTTTACACAAAGAAACTAACATCTAACAGGTGCAGCTATGGGCAATAGAGTTAAGAGAAAAATAAAAAGTAAAAAAGAAAAGGAAAGTATGGAGATGGGGAAGAAAGAAAAGGTAGACAAAGTGCTTGTCCTCATGGATTGTGCATTACAAATATGAATTTATTTATATTTTTCTATGTCCAATTCTATATCTCCAAGCAAACAATATGATTTCATATATTTATAAGTAGTCTGAAGAAAATAAAGCAAGGTGAGGGCATAGAACTTGACAGAGATGGCAGAAAGTCCTGGTGTTTATTAGAGAAGCTGATTTAAGGATTGAAGTCCCCCAAATCATTAGGATTGTGCAAAAAATTCAAAAAATTTTCTTCTTGATACATGGTAGGATTGCACTTGCTATCTTCTTTGTATCTGGGTATGGCCTTCTCAGCCCATGAAAGTTGGAGAAAAGGGAGTTACGTGCAGAAGCTTTCACAACCAACTCAAGATTTGCCCCATCTTCTTCACCTGCAGAAATTATTTGGAAGCATTTATTGAGAAGCTCTTGTCTCTATGTTAACCCAAACTGGACAGCACACAATTTGAAGATTGTTTTAGTACTGCGTAAGCTATCCTATCTTTACTGATACAAGCCTTATCACAGTGCCTGACCCCCAGAGACTGCTTGATAAATTCTCATTATCATTTTGCTGACATTATTATTATTATTGATTTTATTATAGTAACATAAGTATTACCTATGTAGAAACATAGTAGAGGATAAATATCCTTCTCTTGAATGAGTTTAAGGCAGGAAAGTGCAAGTCTTTTGATCCTATCTTTAATTCAAATTACCTGTCAGAGGCAGCAGAGTGGCAACACTTAGATCCAAAGAGGAATCCCTAGTGGGAAAAATTAAATGTATGCTTTCATTGCTATATATTAATTGATTGGCACTGTAAAACTGGATACAAATATTTTTAAGCTATTTGGCTTGGAGACCTAATAAATCTAATTATTAATGCAGAAAACTTTAAAAAATCAAGTATATAAGTAAAAAATGATAACTCTTTGAAATACTATTAGGAATAGTAAAAATTGTCACAAAATATCAATATAAACTAAGAAATATTATTTTTAGGCACAGCTTAAATTATAGAAGAGATAATTAAGTAACTTAACTGGACAGAAATATCAGTTTTAACTGAAATGTAGCTCAGTTTCATTTAAACCTTTGCAAGGGAATCATAGGAAAAAATATAACACAACTTTCTCTGGTGGCAGAAATTGCTAACAGCATCACAGTAAATCTTGTGTGAAACATGTAAAAACAGATCTGGAGGGATAGGGAAATGCAAAACACGTCAGAAGCAATTTTTCAGTGAATAAAATTAAAGGAGAAAGTAAATTTATTGGAACGTAAATACAAATGATAAAATGAGAACTACATTTTATAAAATAAGAACATGTTTCTTCAATAAGTATTTCAGTGGTATCCACAAAATCAAGTTCATAATTTTAAATTCTGTAAGTGGAATTCTAAATATCCTATTTCTGGTGCATACTAAAAACTAGTGAATTTGGAATATTATTTATTTTCTAGAGCTCACTATTTGCCACAACAATAGCCTCAGGGAAAGCTTAATTGAATTTGCATTATATGTTAGTAACAAATATAGTACAATCACAGTAGTAGCCTTGATAAGCTTGGCTTGAAATTGTGTGCTTTAATAGGCTTGATTTGAGAATATACAGGTAATACTTTTTCTATGCCATAAAAATAACCAATGCAAATTCCTTGCTCCTAGAGCTGAAAAAGAAGACATTATTCAATTGACTAGGACACAGAGTTACTATCCTTTTCTTGTTTGACATACTAACCTAAACAGAACAGATTTGTCAAATGTGTTCCAGTAAGAAAGAAAAACTACCTTTTGCTTCACTTTGAGATTTATTTCTTTATTCAGAGCTCATTGTACAGATTGTGTGCTCTCAGCAGAAGTCTTAACCCAGAAGCCAAGTTTCCAACAAGCAGTTTCTAGATACCGCATGGTTTGGTTTGTGTTGGTACTAAAATAAAGCACATGGAAGTGGTATCATGTAGTATTTGCCTTTCTGTGTCTGAACTATTTCACTTACCATAATGTTCTCCAGTTTCATCACATTGTTGCAAATGGCAGAATTTTTTAAATGGTTGAATAATATTTCATCATATGTATTCATTAATCCATTGATGGACATTTAGGTGGTTTCCCTTTATTGGCTATTGTGAATAATCCTATTATGATCAGGGGTGTACAAATATCTCTTCAAGATCCCGATTTTGATTTCATGTTTGAAAAGAGGAATTACTGGAGTATATGGTAGATCTACTTTAATTTTTTTTGAGGAACCTCTATGCTGTTTTCCACAGTCATTGTACCATGTTCCCTCCTCTGGGAAAACTGAGAGGTATTAGTCAAAGGGTACAAGGCTTCAGTTGTGCAATATGAATAAGCCCAAGAGCTTTGCTCTACTGCATAGTGCCCATGTTTAATGATACTTTGCTTTATACTTGAAATTTTGCTAAAAGTGTAGATCTCATGTTAAGGAATCTTATCACAAAATAATAATAACAATAATAAAGAGATGAGAGAGAAACTTTTGAGGTGATGAATACATTTATGATATAGATTGTTGTGATAGTTTCACAGATTTATATTTGTTGCCAGATTTATCAAGTTGTGTATATTAAATATATACATCTTTTTGTGTGTCAATCATATATCTCAATAAAGTGGTATAAAATATTAAAATAAAATAAAACACAAGCTCATACACAAACTAGCATATCAATAAAAATAACCTAATTCTTAATTTTGCATTAACAAACTTATTTTAATTATCTATATATCCATTTCACTTGATAAACAGCTTTTAGATTCCAAAAGTTAAATATAATATTTTAAAGTAATAAATCATAAAAAATAACAATTTTTCATGTGGAGCTATGGATATATATCATATATTAAATCACGTGTGGTATGGGTATGTATATATGACTTAGATTTTATAATTTATATATTATATTGGAAATAATAGGAACAAAATTTGAACTAATTTAAATAGGATAAACATCGTTTTCTTTTGTTCTGAAGTGAAAATATAGATCAGACCCTTTTCTTCAGTTCACTGTGGTTGCTTCAAATGGCTTGAAGCTACTGAGTTAACAAAGTTAGACTTTCCTCAATTTTTTAATATATTAAAATAAAAGTCTCCTCCACTAAAACATTCACTAGAATTATCAAATCTTCACCAGCGAAGTTTAGTCATTAGATAGATGGATGGGTTTCTACTCCTCCTATCATTTTTAATTGTCATGGAATTACATTTATCCTCCCTAAACCAGTACAATGTATGCTTTTCTTGGTTCAGTTGAAAGGGATGCATCCAAGGAAAGATAAGTTATTCCTTTATCACCAAAACATTTATTAAATGTCTATATTTTTAGGGGGCAGTGCTGAGTGTTATAAATGGGAATTAATTAGGCTAAATTCCTGCCTGTATCTCTATTACAACAGAAGATAGACAACAACGATGCAGGAATTTTAAGGCCATTCATTCAACATGCGGGATGCGTTCAACATGGGGATGCAAACAGATAAGTTTTTACCATGAACATTTGCATCCTTGAGCACAGTATATTAGTGTACTGGGTGAAAAGGGTGATGCACACCATGTGATTAATTGCCACCCACCAAACATGGTAAGAAAGATCGCGGCCAAAATCCTATGACTTGACAGAGTGCTGTCCAAATGAAAGCATGATAAGAAGGGGTAGGCACAGTGGTTTTTTTTTTTAATCATCCATATCCAATCTCAGAAATTACTAACAGAAAGGGATTTCCAGCTTGCATCTGCTTTACACATTTTAAAAATCCTTTATCTGCTGTGGGGAAAAATGTTAAATAGGGAATAAAGTAGTTATTGACAAACATCACAGAGAAGCACACGAGAGTAGTGGATACTTCTCATACTCATAGAGATTTAAGCACATGCTTAGAGAATTATACACATTTTATATATTACATATACTCATCACACCAACATACTATTTACTTTACCTATACTCCCCATCTCTACATGGGAAGATCTTATTAATCTTACCACATCTCTATCTCAAACTCATTCCCTCTTCATCTTTTTCAGGACAATCAAATTAACATAAGTTGTGAATCATTTTGGTCTGGATAATTACAATAACCTCCTAGCCATTTTTTTTTGATTTCCCGTTATTGTATTTCATACAGTATTGCTTCTGAGCAAGAAACTCACTTCAAAACAAAAGAAGTGCAAGAATGGGCTCATGCTCATGGATTTCACTGATTTCACCATGTTCCCCACCAATCTGAAGCAGCTGGCTTGATAGAATGATGGAATGTTCTTTTGAAGACTGAATTACAGCACCAGCTAGGTAATAATACCTTTCAGGGCTGGAGCAAGATTCTCCAGAAGGCTCTGAATCAGTGTCATTATGTGGTACTCTTTCTCTGATAGCCAGGATATATAGGTCTAGGAGTCAAAGAGTGGAAATGGGAGTGGCATCACTTACAATTACCTTTGGTGACCCACTAGCAAAATTTTTGGTTCCTGTTTCTGCAGCTTTAATTTCTGTCAGCCTAGAGGTCTTAGTTCCACAGAAACAAATGCTTCTACCAGGAGACACAACAATGATTTCATTGTGTTGGATGTTAAGACTGCCACCTGGCCATTTTGGGTTCCTCATGCCTTTGAGTCAACAGGCAAGAAGAAAGATGTGGTGTTGGCTGGGATTATTAATCCTGATGACGAAGGGGAAATTGAACTAATCCTCCTCAATAAAGGTAAGGAAGAGTATGTCTGAAATCCAGAAGATTCCTTAGTGTGTCTCCTAGTATTAACATACCCTATAATTAAAGTCAATGGAAAACTATGACAATCCAATTCTGGCAGAACTGCAAATGGCCCAGACCTTTCAGGAATGAAGGGTTAAGTCACCCTATCAGGTAAAGAACCATCAACAGGTAAAGAACCAAAGTATATATATTTTTCTCCTTGTAGGGTAGAAAAAAAGACACCCCTTTGAACATGATTTTCTTTGAACATTCATTAAGTATCAGTATATTACAAGCCAAAAAATTCCTTAGCCTTTATTTATTTCATTTGGCATCTAACCTCATTGTGACATAAATTATGGTTTGACAGAAGATCCAACCAAGTTATTGTACGTTTTAGATAGGTATTTTAGGATAATGGTTCATAAAATAATCATTGGTATCAACTACTCTGAGCTGAGCATTTAAAAATTCTTGGTACAAAAGTTCTAAGTGATCATATCCATTCTGCACCTTAGGGGAAGTAATCACAAATTATATTTTGACAATGTATATGTTAGTCAGTATTTTTATTTTCCTGCTATTCAGAAGACTGAATATTCATAGAAATAAATATTTGTGATTATTAGAACCAAATGTAAAATGAACCAATGTTGTTTCTACATTTTTATGTTGAAAATAAACCAGATTTAATTTTCACCCTACGTGAGGTAGGAAAGAAGACACAAATCAATTTTTCGTTCTGAAATGAGACAAAGAGATTCTGGCATTTGTTAGGACTGTCTAAAAGGGAAAAAAAACCTAGATATTTGCTTTAATGGGATAATACTGTGTTTTCATATGTACCACAAAGCTATTTCCATAGCTTTCAGTGGGGGCATATTGTTTTAATTGTTTCTATAGTGACTGCTATGGTTTTGTCTTGGTTCATTCACATTAAGTTGCCAAATCCCTATTTGTGTACATGCACTTGCACTTATAAATATATGCCTGGGATCTGTTAGTGACCTTCCACTGACCAACTCAGCACAAATATCTCTTATCTGAACATTTAGAGCAAAGTTTGGTAAACAGGGCAAAATTCTGGAGGGAAGACATAAATCAAAACTAAAGTAATAAGTTCAAAGACTTGAACTCTTGCTATATATTGTTTTTCAATCTTGGGAGTCATTGAAATGATTACAGAGACCCAAACTATTTGAAATGCATGTCTAAAATCTAACCAGGATGCAACCACATTTGAGTAAAAGGCTATTAAAATGATGAAATCATTACATTGTATCCAAGGATAAAAGACATTGTAAATATTTAGTCTTTCACAGTCACAAACCACTTAAATGAATGAATATAGTCTATTCAATGGTTTATGGTTCCAATAGCCGCCAGGAAATATCAAATTCACATGCTGTCCCAGAACACAAGATTTAGCTTTTGGATTTTTAATTTAGCTAAAAGATGTGTAAAAGCACACAATCATTCAGATCTCTATTGGCTCCACATCTATGTAAAATTATATACAAACAATGTTTAAGCTAGCATTGGCAATCACATTGGCTAACTAACGAATGTAATTAATTGTATTTTTTTAATTTTAATTTTAATTTTTTTTTTTTTTTTAGGGAGAAACAGAAATAATGAAGGATGAAAATTTGGAGAGGCACTGTTTTTAGTAATAGTCTTACATATGAGGTAAGGCTTAAAGTTGCCAAAATGGAATCTGGAAATAAAAATCCATCAGCCTTATGTCTAAAGTAAATCATAATTGTTCTGAAAATGATTAACGCTGGGTGACAGCCAATGCTCCTTTGATAAAATAGTACTTAGTCTGATTCTACAATTGAGTAGACAGGAAATGGCTCACCTTTTGGTAATGAATTAACTCTTTCATACAGGGCTATAGTAATTCCAAAACATAGGTTACAAAAATGGCTCAGATGCCAGGAAATTAAACAGAGTTTCCCAGGATAGCAGACAATTGTTTGTTTGTTTTTTCTATTTCAGTCTCACATTCCTCTAAGTTTTGCTTTTTCTTCTTATGAGCATATTTGGCAAACCATGTACCTATTGTTCAAGGAGCTTCCTACAATTTCTTTGCTGATTTGACTGCATCAGAGTAGAAGTTAGTAAATAACAACATGACAGTACTATTCAGTGACTTTTTACTTTGCAAATTACACAAAATATTTTTAATAACTTTGTAATAAGGTGGGATCCAGGCAGATCAAATTCTCATAATTTGTCAAAGGTAGCCATTAAAATTGTAATAGTTTATTGGAATTTCTTGATTCCTGGAGTGCAAAAAACTATTAAGCTGAGTCTCTGTCATCATATAGTGTATTTAAATGCTTCTTTTAGACAATTCTTTGCATTCCACACCACACTTCCTGTATGCAATATTGCCAAGCTCAGGCTCTTTCTTCCCATGGGCATAACTTAAATGCATCTAGAAAATGATTTGAACTGTAGAGTGCATATCATTTTAAACTGGAGAGAAGAATAAAGCCTTGGAGACAGCACAGTATGTGGTTGTAGTAGTCCAAGGTAAAAATGACCTAAGTGTCAACGAGGGATTTGAATGCTAGACTAGCGTGGTTATTAATGGACAAATACTCTTTCCTCAACGAAGGAACTGCTTCTATTCCTTGTGGTTATGGGAATAGGAAATGGAAAGAGACAACACTTTACTGGCAGACACATTACTGACCCTGCAGAGGCAGCAAGAAAAATGAGCAGAGAAAGCTTCAGAGAAGAGAGTCCTGCCAAGCAGAATAATTGCTGCAAGAAGTACAGGATTCCTTGGACATGGTGGTGACTGGGTTGGATAACCACCTATCAGAGTAGAATGGATCAACCAAAGGGTTGTTGAATCAAATCATCCTAGAATGTTGAAATCACTGGGAAAGAAGCAAAGGCATCCTGATTCCTGTCATTTCTGAGTCATGGGTATTTGAGGGAGCCAACCTCTCACTGCACTTGGGATACACATTGACAGCGATTTGCTAGCCATAAATCTGGCATGATCTTGAATTCAAATATTCATTCTGTAATCAGAAAATGTCTTGATGTTTTGCTTTCATAAGTATGGCTATGAAAATAATATATTAATAAAATGCAGTTTTTAGACCAGTATAATTCTTCAAGACAGTGCCTAAAATAAATAAAATGGTTAGGAGGTTTTTAAATTACAGATTTTAGCAAATATATTTAAGTTAGAAAAAAACAAATATTAAACGTATGTTTTTAGATTTAATATTTAGTTTATTTCTCATCTCAACTTTGCTTACTTATAACAGTAACCAAATTTTATGAAAAAAACATATTTGGAACTAGGTTCAATACAATCTAATGCATAAAAGACATGAAGGAGAAATAAATAGTGGAAGAACATAAATAAAAATAATTAAATAAGAAAGCAAGCCATGCTATTGCAGGCTAAATAATACCTAGAGATGGTCCCCCCTTAAAAAAGGATACTTTGTTTTTCCTCCTCTCTCTTTCATTATGATATAGGGAATCTAGAGCATAGTTTACTCTGGAAACAAAGACAAAATTAAAGGAGTCAGACAGAGGGAAAACCAGTACTCACCTCTGCTACTTTGAACTTGAGAGATAAGTGGAAAGTTTCTGAAAAAAGATGACTTTTATAGAACTGTGTTTTTGAGGTGCTTAAAATTCTTTCACTAGTGATGCATTCTTCCACTTGTGATATATTATTAAATTCTAGAACAGAAATTTATCAAGGCTTTTTGGGTCCTCAAGAAACAATTTATATAAATGAAACTGCCCCTGGAAGGATCATAACATAATCAGCAGACACTTGGCCAGTTTTCTTTATAATAATGTTAGAAAATCTTTGCTTGCTGGTAAGAAAAAATAAGATAGTCTTCTAAGAAGCTGTGACTAAAGGAAATTAGGTACCTGAATTGGGAAGAAATGAAAATAGAAAGGTATCAGAGATGGGCTTTCCCTGGATCTATGCCTTTTCTGCAGTTTGCTTCACTCTACGTACAAAGGGGTCCAGCTCTAGCTGTTCTTCCCTAATGATATTATTGGCAGTCAGCTGAATGTCTGCACAGAGAATGTCACAGTCACGGCAGGATTTTTTCTGTATTGAAAAAGCAGAAACCAACTTCTTGGCACTCCATCAGAAGAGATGTGATTTCCTAACTAAAGCAGAATGCTCAATCAGAACAGTTTTTGGAACTTTTCCCTCTGCCATGGAACCTGGTGAATGGTTTGTGTTTTTCCAAAATTACTTGAAATTTAGCTGCTAGGAGGCTGTGCCGACCGTTCCAATTTTTCTTTCAATTTTGCATTTTATTGGATGCTTCCCTCAAGTCTTCCAGCATAGTTCAGTCATTAGTCAGAGCTGGAAGATTTATTATTTACTTTGACAGTCACCAGCCTATTTTGTCAAACCATACACATTACTGCTCCATTTGACAGGTGTTACTCTTAAAATCCTTCAGTTTATTTTCCCCCTTTGTGTGAGGCTTCTATGTCTACTGTCTTGTTTACTTTCCCAAAGGAAGCACAATATGTTTTCTGGTTGATAAAAGCTTGGTTTTGTTGCTACTTTTCAGTGACAGATTAAGCAGCCATTGGTCAAAAACTTTTTTCTTGATTTAATCTAAATTTTGGTGACGTGCTTACACTAGGAACCATTAGGAAATAAAATAAAACAAAAGAAAGAATAGTGAATTCAGTGTAAGTAGAGGCAGAAAAACATTGCCATTTTACCTGCAATGTACATATTGCAGGGTATATCAAAGTTAGAATTTCTTTACTCTAAAAGAGCTCTAAGGTTAATGTATATTACAAACTGTCATATAAGAAAATACAGGGAGCTATGATGACATAGAAGAGAGCACTACCCAGATTAGAAAAGTCAGGTAGGTCTTCCTGGAGAAGATGACAGCTAAATTGATTTGTAAAGATAAATAGTAATGCAGAGAAAAGGAGATGACAGGATGGGCATTCTATGTGGATGCCAATATAGGAAGGATGGTGAATTTGATTTGAATATATTGCTTATAACATATCACGAAAACATTTGTAGATATATATATGTATATTTTTTTCTGATGTTTGTGACTCATCTCTGTTACCCATTTAGTTATCTAACTTCCTTTTCTGCTTGAATGTTATCTCTTCAGGAAGCCTTCTCTGACCACCCAATGTAAATACTTCTTTACCACTTCCTTGGTAGCTCTTCATCTTTAAGCCTTGCTTCATGTTTTTCTTTTCTTTCCTTTTTTTTATTTTGTTTGTTTGTTTTTTTTTTTTTTTGAGATGGACTCTTGCTCTGTCACCAGGCTGGAGTGGTGCAGTGGTGCGATCTCGGTTCACTGTGACCTCCACTTCCCAGGGTCAAGCAATTCTCCTGCCTCAGCCTCCCGAGTAGCTGGGATTACAGGCACGTGCCACCATGCCCAGCTAATTTTTCTATTTTTAGTAGAGATGGGGTTTCACCATGTTGGTCAGGCTGGTCTCGATCTCGTGACCTCGTGATCCACCTGCCTCGGCCTCTCAAAGTGCTGGGATTACAGGCATGAGCCACCGTGCCTGGCCCTTTTCTTTTCTTTTCTTTTCTTTTCTTTTCTTTTCTTTTCTTTTCTTTTCTTCTTTTCTTTTCTTTTCTTTTCTTTCTTTCCTTTTGAGACAGAGTCTTGCTCTGTGGCCAGGCTGGTGTGCAGTGGCATGATCTTGGCTCACTTTAACCTCCTACGTCTCCCAGGTTCGAGCGATTCTCCTGCCTCAGCCTCCCAAGTAGCTGGGACTACAGGCACATGCCACCACGCCCAGCTAATTTTTGTAGTTTTATTAGAGACGTGGTTTCACCACGTTGGCCAGGATGGTCTTGATCTCTTGATCTCGTGATCCGCCGCCTCGGCCTCCCAAGTGCTGGGATTACAAGCGTGAGCCACTGTCCCCAGCCTGCTTTATGTTTCTTATGGGAATGTTTCATTGTCTGTCAGGAAGGAAAACAAATATTTAATAAATTAATTGTTGTTAGTCCCCTTCTGTTTCTTAGCTATACTGTGCAACACACTACTTTAATACTTAGTGGCTTAAAATGCAACCAGCTTATTAGTCATGATTCTGTTTTCCAAGAATGAGAGCAAGGCTTGTCAGGGATGGCTCGTCTGTGCTCTGTGATCTTGGCTGCATTCACTCATTCAGGTGATAGTTGGGGTAGAGGATCAAAGGTGACCTTACTCACATGTCAGGAACCATGGTGCTGGGCTGCTGCTGGGGTCCTTTTATTCACATGGCCACTTTCTCCAAGTGGATAGCCTAGACTTCTTTTCTAGAAGCCTTAGGATAGCAAAAGAATGAAATAATCAGCGGCTATGTCTCTTAAAGTCTAGGCCCTGAACAAGGACAATTTCACTTCCACCACATGGTTAAATCAAATCTAAAGTCAATCCAGATTGAAGGAGAAGATAAATAAATTCCGTTTTTTTTTTTAACATGAGGAGTAGCATGTACCTACAGGCAAGGGAGGGATTGTTACAGCCATTTTTGCTAGCTATTCCCCATACTCTCTAGAATTCAAACTGCTCAAGGACATAATCTAGTTGTTTGGAATCAAGAATATAGTTGCTCATTTATTGACTTTTCATCGTGTCCACATTGAAGGACAATTAAGTACCATATTCACATCTCCAGTCCTGATTTATTTTTTACTGTGACAGGTTCTTGCTCTGTCTCTCAGGCTGGAGTGCAGTGGCACAATCCTGACTCACTGCAACTTCAACCTCCTAGGCTCAAGCCATCCTTCACCACAACCTCCCAAGAAGCTGGGAAGCTGAGAGAGAATACAGGCGTGTGCCACCATACTTGGCTAATTTAAATTCTTTTTCTTTTTTTCTTTTCTTTTCTTTTCTTTTTTTTTTCTTTTTTTCTTTTTTTTTTTTTTTTGAGAGACAGGGTCTCACTGTGTTGCCTAGGCTGGTCTCAAATTCTTGGGTTCAAGTGATTCTCCCACCTTGGTCTCTCAAAGTACTGGAACTACATGCATGAGCCACCGTGGTTGGCCCTCAATATATTTTTAAATTGGAATTTTAAAAAATGGTCTCTGTTTATTGGACATTTATATTTATATGCCCTAGCATTGCTTCAGAAACAATAACAATAAATTCATCTTTCCTCCTATTTTATTTTTTTCTCCCAATTTTTCTACTCTGTAAATGGTATTCTTTAAGACTTATATCATCACCAAGGATTTAAAATGTGAAGTTACTTTTCTCTCTCTCTCTCTCTGTCTCTCTCTGTCTCTTGTTTTTGCAATCAGATGGACCCAAAATCATATTTGAAAATTGGTTCTACTATGTACTGACAATGTGGAATTGAGCAAATCACTTAACCTTTCTGATCCTGTTTATTCTTCATTTAAAATTGATATGATATCCTCATCTCAGGGTTGTTTCAGAAATTAGTTAAAAGAAAACTTTGTAGACAGCCTGAATAAGATATTAAGCACTCACTAAATGTAAATTTCCAACTTTAGAAAGTTTTTTCTAGTGATTATATTATCCATGTGCTATTATTAACATTTTATGTATATACTATGTTTTTACAACAAAAGAGTAAACTCCTTGAAGACAATGACTCCAGAATTCTTAGGGTAGGGTCCTACATACTTAGAATTTGGAGCATGATAAGCTCTGTCAAATGAGTCACACTAACATCAATTAAAAAGCATGAACACCATTTTGTGGGGGAGAGTAAACATAAACTCACTGCTTTGTTGAAAATTAGGCAATGTATATTGTCATTTTTATCGTTGTTAGTTTGCATTCTACATTATGCTGTGTTCTCTATAAAGCAAATTCTGTTTTAAAAGAAAAGTCTGTAAGGAAATAAGAGGCCTGGTGTAAAGGGAACTACTGATTTTGACAGTCAGAGGGGAGTTTTTAAGACCTACTACCAGATGTTGGAGTGATTTTGGTAATCACATCCCTTTTAGTTTTGCATGAAGATCTTTATACCTCCTTTTTAAAAGTTCAATAATATTGCAGCAATACATTTTTTAAGCAAATATATTTTAGAGACCAAATGTTTTTTTTTCTCTCTGAAATATGATTATTTCAATTACTAGTAGCAACAATTAATCACTGACTGATTCATCAGCCTGCAGCTGGGATTATAGAGCTGACTTCCTTTTTTTATTCCTGTTCTACTCTGCTCAGCAGGGATTGAGTGATAGCAAACTAATAACCTTTCCCTACCCTTAGTACTTTTTCTTAATACTATCAAAGAAGAAAATTTTAAATATTTTCCCAAAGTTCATTTTTACCCCACACAACTCATTTTTGTTAAGCTTTACTAAGATATACTTGACAAATATTTTATATATGTATATAACAATGTAATGTTTTGATATACATATACATTATCAAATAATTTCCATAATCAAGCTAATTAACATATCCATCTACTTATGATGTAGTGAATTTCAAGTATACATTACTATTAACCTTAGTCATCATGCTGTACATTAGGATCCAGAAATCATTTATCTTATCATTGCAATTGTATACTTTTTGTAACTGTATATCCCCATTATCCCCATTTCCCCCACCTCAATCACCATTTTGCAATTATATATCCCCAATATATTCCCATTTCCCCCACCTGAATCCCTGGTACCCAACCTTCTACTCTGTTTTTATAAGTTCAACTTTTTTAGATTCCACATATAAGTGAAATCATGCAGTATTTGTTTTTCTGTGTCTAACGTATTTCACTTAGCATAATGTCTTCCAGGTTCATCCATGTTGTTGCAAATGACAGAATTTCTTTCTCTTTCAATGCTGAGTAATATTTCATTGTATGTATATATTTTGTACATATACACACACACACTAAAATGTCTTCATTCATTAATTGACGGACACTTAGGTCATTATCATATCTTGGCTATTGTAAACAATGCTGCAAGAAACATGAGCAAGCAGAGATCTCTTTCAGATAGTGATTTTATTTCCTCTGAGTATATGCACAGAATTGCTGGGTCATGTGGTATTTCTACCTTTATTTTTTTGAAAAACCTCCATACTGTTTTGCATAATGTTTTTACTAGTGTATATTCCTCTCAATAATATATGAGTTTCCTTTTCTCCACATTCTCACTGTACTTATCTTTTGACTTTTCAGTAATAGCCATTGGCAGTGGAGCAAGATGGTGGAACAGAAGCTTACAACCTTTATCTCCCTGTAGGAACACAAAATTCTAACAACTATCTAAACAGTAAAGTCACAAGAACTAAAAATCAGGTAGGCCATCACAGTACTTTGTTTTAACTTGACATTGCTGAAAGAGAGGCATTGAAGAGGGTAGGAGAGACAGTCTTAAATTGCCAACATCATGCCTTCCCCATCTCCTTGCATGGTCCTGTGGGGCAAAAAGAGTCTGTCTCCTTTAGTGAGAAAGAGGGCAGTGATTGGGGGACTTTACACTGAACTTCACACTGCCCTGTCACAGCAGAGAGAAAAGACATGCTGGGCTTAGCCAGTTCCCAGGTATGAAAGGAGCCCTAGACTGGCCCTAGACAGAGGGGAATTCCCCATTCTAGTGGTTGAAACATGAGTGTATTGGCAAGCCTTGCGAATGGAGGCCAAAGTTCTCTGGTGTCCTAGGTAAACCAGAAAGGCAGTGTAGGAAACAAGGACTGCAATTCCTAGGCAACTCCTAGTTCTGGGTTGGGCTCAGAGCCAGAGGACTAGGGTGGCACATGATCTAGTAAAACAACAGCTGGGGCAGCCAAAGGAATACTTGTGACACCCTTTCCCCAAATCCAGGCAGCACAACTGACAGCAATGAAAGTGACTCTTTCCTTCTGCTTGAGGAGAGGACAGTAAAGAGTAGAGAGGACTTTGCCTTGCATCTTGCATACCAGCTCAGCCACAATAGAATAGGGCACTGGGCAGAGTTGTGAGGTCCCCATTCCAGACTCTAGATCCCAGACAACATTTCTAGACACACCCCAAACCAAAAGGGAATCTGCTGCCTTGAAGAGTAGGACCCAGTCCTGTCAGGATTCATCACCTACTGATTAAAGACCCCTTTAATCAGTAGGTCCTGAACAACCAGCAGGGATACCCAGGTAGTACACAATGGGCCTTGGGCTGTGAGACATGTTGGCTTCAGGTGGGACACACCACATTCCTAGCTGTTGTGGCTACAGTGAAAGACTCCTTCTGTTTGATAAAAGCAGAGGGAAAAGTCAAGGGGTCTTGTCTTGCACCTTAGCCACAGTGGGATAGAGCAACAAGCAGGCTCTTGGGGTCCCTAAGTCCAGGTTTAGACTCTCAGTCAGGTTTGTGAACCTTCCCTGGGCCAGAAGGCTAAGTCCCAGGCCTGGTAGCATTCACCACAAGCTGACTGAAGAGCCCTTAGGACTTTAAGTGAGCATCGGCAGTGACCTGGCAGAATCGCCTATGGGCCAGTGTTGGCAGTGGCCACAGAGAAAGGCTCCTCTGCCTATGGAAAGGGGAGGGAAGAGCAGGACAGACTTTGTGTTGTGGTTTGAGTGTCAGCTTAGCTGCAGTAGAATAGAACATTAGGTAAATTTCTAAGATTTTTGACTTCAAACCCTGGCTCCCAGACAGAATCTCTGGACCCACCTGGGACCTGGGGAAACTCACTGCCCAGAAAGGAAGGACAGAAATGAGGCTGGCTTCACCACTTGCCAATTGTAGAGCCCTAGATTCCTGACTGAACATAGGTGGTAGTCAGGTAGAGTTTACAATGGGCCTTCAGTGAGATTGAGTGCTGTGTTGGCTTTGGGTCTGACCCAGTCTAGTCTCAGCGGTGGTGAACACAGAGGTGCTTGCATCACCACAACCCAGTTTCAGGTGGCTCACCACACACACACACACACAGACTTTGTTTGGGAGAAAGTAAGTTAAGAGAACAGAGTCTCTGCCTGGTAATCCAGAGAATTCTTCTAAATCTTATCCGAAAACTATCAAGGAAGTACCTCTACTAGTCTGCAGGAACCACAGCATTGTTGGACTTGGGGACCAAATCCTTTCAAATACTTGGAAAATCTTCCCAAGAAGGACAAGCACAAACAAGCCTAGTTTGCAAAAACTACAATAAATATCTAACTCTTTAATGGCCAGACACCAACAAACATCTGCAAGCAACAAGACCATCCAAGAGAATATGACCACAACAAATGAACAAATTAAGGTACCAGGGTCAATTCTGGAGAAACAGGATTTTTCTGAACTCCTGGAGGTCACAGAGATATGTGACCATTCAGACAGAGGATTTAAAATAGCTGTTTTAAGGAAAATCAAAGAAGTTCAAGATAACACAGAGAAGGAATTCACAATTCTATCAGATAAATTTAACAAATACATTGAAATAATTAAAAAGAAGTAAAAATTCTGGAGTTGAAAAATGCAGTTGACATATTGAAGAATGTCAGTTGTCAGAGCCTCTCAATAGCAGGAGAAAGAATTAATGAGCTTAAAGACAGGCTATTTAAGACACAATCAGAATAGACAAAAGAAAAAAGAACAAAAATCAATGAAGAAGGCCTATGACATCTAGAAAATAGCCTCAAAAGGGCAAATCTAAAACTTGTTGGCCTTAAACAGGAGGTGGAGAAAGTGATAGAGGTAGAAAGTTTATTCAAAAGAATAATATCTTTTTTAAGAAAGCCTGTTATGTCTGTAGTCTGAAACTCTAGATAATTGCATTCTTAAAAAACACACATTCATAACAATTGTACAATGTAACTTTCTATTTCATTCTAAAGCTTAAAAGCCAGAAGACGCATTTCTCAAATTTTCAAATGACATTCCAAAATTACATAGTCTTTGCATATTTTATCTCATTTGACAATAAAAGAGCAACAAAAGTAAAAAAAAGAAAACAATATATCATCAGAAAACTTCCCAAACCTAGAGAAAGATATCAACATTCAAATACAAGAAGGTTATAGAACACCAACCAGATTTTAACCAAAGAAGACTACCTCAAGGCATTTAAAAATCAAACTCCTGAAGGTCAAGCATGAAGAAAGGGTCTTAAAAGCAGCAACGAAAAAGAAACAAATAACATACAATGGAGCTCCAATACATCTGGCATCAGACTTTTCAGTAGAAACTTTACAGACCAGAAGATAGTGGCATGACATATTTAGTGTACTGAGTTAAAACAAACAAATAAACAGAAACTTTTACCCTAGAATAGCATATCTGGGGAAATATCCTTTAAACATGAAGGAGAAATAAAGACCTTCCCAGACAAACCAAACCTGAGGGACTTCATCAACACAAGACCTGTCCTACAAGAAAAGCTACAGGGAATTATTCAATCTGAAAGAAAATAATGTTAATGAGCAAGATGAAATCATCTGAAGATATAAAATTTGCTGGAGTTTCATCAACACAAGACCTATCCTATAAGAAAAGCTACAGGGAATTATTCAATCTGAAAGAAAATAATGTTAATGAGCAAGATGAAATCATCTGAAGATATAAAATAGTCAAAGGATCGTTAGTGGCTACTATGAGCACCTATATGCCAAAAAATTGGAAAATTTAGAGGAAATTGAACCATGAAGAAATCCACAACCTGAAGAGACTAATAATAAATAATGATATTGAAGCCATAATAAAAAGTCTCCCAGTAAAGAAAAAGGACCTGATGGCTTCACTGCTGCATTCTACCAAACATGTAAAGAGGAACTAATGCTGACTCTACTCAAACTATGCCAATAAATAGAGGAGGAAGGAAGACTTCTAAACTCATTCTATGAGACCAGTATTACCTTGACACCAAAACCGGACAAAGACACATCATAAAAAGAAAACCACAGGTCAATATCTCAGATGAATATTGATGCAAAAATTCCAAACAAAATACTAATAAACAACATTAAACAATACATTAAAAAAATAATTATGCTCAACTAGGATTTATCCCAGAGACGCAAGAACAGTTCAACATATGCAAATCAATCAGTGTGATACTTCATATCAACAAAATGAAGAAAAACCACATGATCATTTCAATTGATGCCGAAAAGCATTTGATTAATTTAACATTTCTTCATTATAAAAACCCTCAAAAACTGGTTATAGAAGGAGCTCACCTCAATATAATAAAAATCGTATGTGACAAACCCACAGCTAGTATCATACTGAATGGTGAAAAACTGAAAGCCTTTCCTTTAAGATCTGGGACATGACAAAAATGCTCACTTTCACCACTGTTATTTGACATAGTACTAGAAATCCTAGCTAGAGGAATCTGACAAGGGAAGGAAATAAATGGCATCCAAATTGGAAAGGAAGAAGTTGAATTATCCTTGTTTGCAGGTGATATAATCTTATATTTGGAAAAACCTAAAGACTGCAGCAAAAAACTATTCAAACTGATAAACAAATTCAGTAAGGTTGTAGGATCAAAATCAACATACAAAATCCAGTAGCATTTCTATATGCCGAGAGTGAATTGTCTGAAAAAGAAATAAGGAAGTAAGCCCATTTACAAGAGCCACAAATAAAATTAAATACCTCATAATTAACTTGACCAAAGTGAAAGATTTCTACAATGAAAACTATAAAACACTGATAAAATGAATTGAAGAGGACCTCCAAAATGGAAAGATATTCCAGGTTCATGAATTGGAAGAAGCAATATTGTTATAAATTTCATACCACCTAAAGCAAAGTACATATTCAAGGCAATCCCTATCAAAATATCAATGACATTATTCACAGAAATAGAAAAACAATCCTAAATTTTATATGAAACCCCCAAAGACCCAGAATAATGAAAGCTATCCTGTGCAAAAAAAAAAAAAAAAATCATAACTGGAAGAATCACATTACCTGACTTCAAATTGTACTACAGAGCTACAGTAATGAAAACAGCATGGCTCTTGCATAAAAACAGACAGAGACCAATGAAACAAAATAGAGAACTCATAAACAAATCCACACACCTACAGTGCACTCATTTTGACAAAGGTTCAAGAATATATATTGGGGAAAAGACAGTGTCTTCAATGAATGCTATGAGGAAAGCTGTATATGCATATGCAGAAGAATGAAGTAGATCCTTATCTCTCACCATATACAATAATCAAATCAAAATGGATTAAACACTTAAATGTAAGATATCAAACTATGAAACTGCTACAAGAAAACCTTGGGGAAACTCTTCAGGACCTAGGTCTGGGCAAAAATTTCTTCAGTAATACCCCATAAGCACAGGAAACCAAAGCAAAAATGGACAAATAGGATTACATCAAGTTAAAAAGCTACTCCACAGCAAAGGAAACAGTCAAAAAAGTGAAGAGATAATCCACAGAAAGGGAGAAAATTTTTGCAAACTATGCATCTGACAAGGGATTAATAACCAGAATGTATAAGGAGCTCAGATAGCTCTATGGGAAAAAAATCTAATAATCCAGTGGAAAAAGAAAACTGGCAAAATATTTGAATAGACAGTTCTTGAAAGAAGATATACGAATGGCAAGTAGGCATATGAAAAGGTGCTTAACATCATTGACCATCAGTGAAATGCAAATCAAAACTACAATGAGATAGCATCTCACCCCAGTTAAATGGCTTATATCCAGAAGACAGGCAATAACAAATGCTGAAGAGGATGTGGAGAAAAGGGAACCATCCTACATTGTTGGTTAGAATGTAAATTAGAACAACCACTACAGAGAACAGTTTTTGAGGTTCCTCAAAAAACTAAAAATAGAGCTACCATAAGATCTATCCATCTCACTACTGGGTATAGACACAAAGGAGAGGAAATCATTATATCAAAGAGATAATCTGCACTCTTAGTAAGTTTGTTGCAGCACTGTTCACAACAGCCAAAACTTAGAAGGAAGCTAAGTGTCCCTCAGCGGATGAATGAATAAAGAAAATGTAGTACTTATGCACAGTGGAGTACTATCCAGTCATAAAAAAGAATGAGATCATGTCACTGACAATAACATGGATGGAACTGGAGTTCATTACATTCATTAAGTGAATTAAGCCAGGTACAGATCCCACCTGTTTGTGGGATCTAAAACTGAAAACAATTGAACTCATGGATATAGAGAACAGAAATATGGCTACCAGAAGCTGAAAAGGGTGATGGAGTGGTGGTGGGGATATGGGAATGGTTCATGGGTACAAAAAATAGTTAAAGAATAAATAGGACCTAGTTTTTGATAGCACAACAAGGCAATTATAATTTAATTGTGCATTTTAAAATAAGTTGAAGAGTATACTTAGGTTGTAACACAAAGGATAAATGCTTGAGGTAATAGATACCCAATTTGCCACCATGTGATTATTACTCATTGCATTTCTATACCAAAATATCTCATGTACCCTATAAATATATGCACCATTAGAGTGAGGGCTCTCAATTAAATATTCCATAGATTTGTAAACTATCCACAAATGTCAAAGAACAATTTTTGTCATGAGGAATTTTCTATATCTTATATCAGTTTCTCTAAAATATTAAAATAAATGTCCTTAGTGGGAACCAGAATCTTTCTTCAGGACAGTACTGAATTATTTACTATATAATCACATTAATTTACTCACTTAATAATTTTAAAGTCCAGCATCAATTGGAAATGATAGCTATAAGATCTTTAGACTAAATTTTTTTCACTCTTTACAAAGTAACTGAAATCATAATTAGTAGACATTAGTAATATTATACTTGTCAAGAACTTAGAAGGGTCTGAGATTTTACCCTATGCACGTGACAACTTAGCTTGCCACAGTTTTATGTGTGGTGGCAAAAGACATGAGATTTCTGGGCCAGAAACAACAGACCTTATTACTAATAGCAATAGCAGTAGTCAGAATATCAGCATTTATTTTTGTGCTCCACAGGATAAAGCTAAGTGAGCTGAGTGCCTGCATACACACAGTGGCAGGGGAGGAAGTCTGAACTTAGGGAAATCAAATCTTTAATGATGGGCAGTAATCTGCCAGATCTTTGCCCTCCCCAAAAAACACTATCTTTGTCATACTGAACAACAAACAAAACCTGTCTTTTACTTTGTAGGGGGAGATTATCATTACTTTCCATGTCTTTTGGTGTACAAACTCCCTTGAAATGATAGTCCAGAACAATGGCTATTATTACCTCTGTTCTCTAGATGTGCTGACACCTGAGAGACACATACAGAATTGTTTTTTGGCAATATTGTCTTCTTTACTCAATGCTATCTTGAGTTTCAGCAAATTTTTCTATGAGTACACCAGTCTGACAGCCACACTAATTAATGTGACTGATAGAGGTTAGAACTAAATGTGTTCATTTTTTTCTCATATAGTATTTAATTAAGGTTACTATCATTAGGAATCTGAGCAGCATTACGAGGCAATCTGTAGTATTAACATCAACTGTGCTCCTCAGGGTCCCAGACTCAACCAGCTGACCAAATCTCATAAACCGTTTGATCTACTTTAGAAATCCAAGTGTCACTCTCCTTAACTTTCCATATTGACCTTCCCACTTGGCCCAAGGCACTAATCCAGGTACAACAGGATGTGTTAGAGAATAAGAAAACTCTACTTTGGCCTGCAAAGAGAAAATCGAGGGCAAAAATTATCAATAGCCGGCATGCTCACTGAGTTAAGACTAAACCAAATATACCCCAGGACCAAGGTGGTGCCTTTGATCACTTTAACTAATATCAAAGACAAATTTTATATTACCTTTTTAAATTAGATGATTCCTATTGCAGGAAAACCTGCCTACAGGGTGGTTATAAATAGCAAGTCAGCTTTCCTGGGAAGCACCCCTAAGTAACCAAGTATAGCTCATTTTGTAGAAAGAGGGCAGTCATTTAAGGGCTATGTGATCTACTGGGGTGTTTCTTTAAACGCTTGAAGGTATGCTATGGCCACTTTTAAGGTGACAATCACCATTTTGGGAGGAGAGACAAAGGGAATGCTTGGCTTTTACAAAAGAAATACAGTACCAAGAGTACATGTGGCACCCCTAAAAATAAAGTACTCTTTACAGTTATTCAGACCATCGAAGTGGGATCTACATCATCTAGGAGACAGGTTGACATTGCTCTAATATCACCTCCTGGCCAGCTGGCACTGCTTGGTTTCTCAATTCGGTTTGAATAACTGGATATCTTTAATGTTTTTGAAGGTAAGATCGTAGGCAGTTGGTCTACTCAGTTCTGTATTTTCTCACTATCATCCAGATGGCTTTCTCTACTTCACAAAATGACTAAGCTATTGTAGTGGGAATGGGGTGAAGCAGATAACTAGAATTATTGATAGAAGTTTTGCTGGAAAGTATTGGGACTAGGGCCATCACTTGTTCTTTTGATAGATTTTTTGGTAAGGATAAAAGAAATGGCAATTAATTTGTCATCAGGGCTGCCTAGTGGAAGATTACCAAGAGGCATTACAGACACAGAAATCAATTAAATTTAAGTGTGTGTTACAGTTTAGGAGAGCCACTAAAGGTAATTTTTCTTGGGGAAGGCTCCAGGGGTAGTCAGAAAGAAAAAAATAATAATTATTAATGTCACTACCTCATCCATGGCTTCTGGGGTCTAAGATTTTCCTGCTCTAGGAAAATGCCAAAGTTGTTACTGTTTCCCTGCCACCATAAAAGATCTGTGTCCTTTTTTAATCTTCATAAAGAATCTAGGTAGTTGAATAAGAATTAAGTTTGAATCCCTTAGGCCTCCTTTTGCCCAGGGAGCCACACAGAGTGCATACAAATCAGTCCAGCTTGGGATTGCTATTGGGAGAAAGTAACAAGTATCATGCCCAGTAACAATCAGAGCAGAATCTCAAACTTTCAAAATATGATTACATGACCTCTTATATTTTTCATACTGATCATTACGGAGGAAGTAACTGAAAAGGAATGATGTTTCTAGGTAGAGCTATACTCAGTAGCCAAACTGCTTTATTAAAGTGTGTGGATAAGGAAGAGTTGAGGAAGGTATGGTCATAAATCTTTTTGAGTTGATTTTTGAGAAGGTTATTCCAATGTTCTCCAATACCAGAGTCCTGTGAATGTTAGGGAATGTAGGAGGTCCATTGTATAACTTGAATATTAGCCCATTGTTGTATACATTTTTGACAAAAAAAGTGCTAGCATCAGTCTCTAAATTGTCAAGACATCTGAAAATATGACATAGACCAATTACAAGAGCCACTGTTGTGTGTGGACTTGGCTGATCAGGCATGGAATGAGCATTATAATCTGAAAAAAAAAAAATCACCAGCTATGAGACCCTGCTGATACCCTTGAGAGAAGACAACATTCTGGTCTAGTTAATGTGCCATAGCAGGGGAGTGGAATGCCCAGTGTGATGTGGTCTCTCCTATCATGAAACAAACACATTAACTTCTGGCAAGATTTATATGCCTGGTATACAGTGATAGGCCGTGCATCATAAACTTAGGGTCTTTTACTTTGCTTGATCTATAATAATGAATGTGTTGCCATGTCTTGTATGAGAATGGATCTAGACAGCAATGGTGGAAATCTGAGCAATGCAGGCTCAATTAGCAGACAGACTTCACCTGGTTTCATCAGGGAACAAATCCTCATTATGCATAGCTCTATGAGTGACCCAGATGGTTCAATCAGCAGGGTGATTTGTTACCACAGTTTGTGGTCCTAAAGAGAGGCTTCTCAAGTCTGTCAGTCTACAGTTTACCAGGTAGGAGAATAAGTAGTTTAGACAATTAGCAAAAGCTCAAGAGACAGCAAACATAAAACAAGGTTCATCAAAAGGAATATTATCCTACTGAATTGAAGAACAATGTCCATGTTCAGTCTGAATAGTTGGTATTGCAAACAGCTGTAGCAGTCCAGTGGACACCATCAGGTTCCTGCTGAGATGAGCCTTCAGTGAATCAGGCCCAGGCATTTAGGGCAAACTCTGTGAAGCAAGGACCCCATTATGACAGCACTTTGCTTCAGTTGGCAGAGTGAAGGATAAAGACTTCCTCAAAGAGATAGTAACCTCTTTTGAAAATGAAAGGCAAAGATGCCACTGGGTCCAAACCAATAGCATTCTTGAATGTATTACTTTCATCTGACAAATGAGGCTTGTCGAACCCTTCCTTCATGGATCAGGTATTTAGTTTTGACTAGTGTCTCATGCCAAGCTAAGTGCTGTTTTTCAAAAGGAGTGTACTTGGAACCTGTGCCACCAAGCCAATGACTCCAAAACCCCAGGGACTCCTGTGGTTATAGGGGTGCTTCACTTTTCCAAACACTCCAATCATCAAAATCATTAGCCACAGAGAATTATAGTTCAAAGAGATCAGTTGTGTAGAAGACATGCAAAGCTCACTGGGCAATTTTAAACGTATCCTTTTTGTCTGGGCCCCACTCGATGGATGCTTATCTGTGGACTAGTTAGTACCATTTTCCAAGTAGAATGCTACCTGAGGCGTGTACTATCTCTAGTATCCAAAGAGTTCAATAAATTGCTGTATCTCTTTTTGGAGATGATGTGGGAAAGACACAATAGGTTTTATTTTTTTTTCTTGACAGCCAGTAGGATTGACAGTGTTAGTATGCACTCATATAGGGCCAAAATATTAATACTTCTTGGCTAGCAGGCCCCTAAATTTTATTGAAGTTTAATACCTCAGTAGCCATCCTTGTTAGTAGAAATGTAATAATACAACAATCAGGTCCATGGACACTGAGAATTCTGACTTGCTGACCAGCAGGATATCATCTAGTTAGTGAAAACTTCAGACATCAGAAGATGGATAAGAATGTGTAGTATCCACATATAAACCATTAATATCATTATACAGTGAATTCGACAGTGAAAACCACAACTGTACATTAAATTTGCCCAAATGGTGGTGTCCACAAGGCCGTATTAGCTGCTCTTCCCCACTGTATACCCAGACCAAATATCTCATTAACTGAATCAGAGCATCTTTATACACACTGAACCCCAATAAGATGCTGAGTTGGGCACATTTCCCCAACAGAGCCATGTAAGTTTGAGTTCCTGCCTTCCCCCAAATTACATAGCATACCGAGACAGATGCATATGGCCTCTGGTCCTTCTTTTGGACAGGAATGCATATAACTTATCCCCAAATCATATTTATTCATAAAGAGGCTGAGGATGTGGTTGTGGAAAAGGAAGAATCAGAGGGCATGACATATTTATCTTCAATTTTGAGCAGAGTGGTGACTGCATGTAACTCAACCAAATGAACTTCCAATGTTTTTAGCTCACTCAATGCCCTATATTAGCAGTAACATCATCCTCACTGACGCCATCTATTTTAGCTTTGTGGACCCCTTGATTCAACAGCCATTACCACATTGTTTTCTGTTTGGGGCTGTGGAATTTATTTCCTTTGGCTTATTTAGATTTGATGTACACAGTGGTGTCTTTATTTTTCTTTAGAGTCCACCTTACTCTAGAACATTTGCAGTACCATTACCAAAATAACATCTCTTAAGATCTTAAGAAATAACATTTCTTAAGATCAAGATTGTGTAGTTTCAACATAAGGCCTAGGATAATTTTCCAAGATGGCCTGGCTTCCTGCAAGAATTTATCTAGATTTATTTGAGTGTTTTTCTCATAAATTAGTGGATCACTTTCATTAGCACTGTAAAGTCTAACCAGTGTAGTAAGAGCCCAAATACTAGCTAATGCCTCACCTGTTGTTTTCCCAAGCAGTCTGTCTTCGTTTTGGAAGTCTTCCTGAGAGAGCCAAAGTTCCCACATAGAAGTCAGGACACACAACAACGATAGCAACAACAACAAAACCCTGAAAGGGTCTAGGGTTGACAGTCTAGACTGCAGGAGAGACTAAGCCATAAAACACTCATCAGTTGCTGTTCCTCCTTAATAAGCATTATATGCCCCACTCTTTCATTTCCCAAGTGAACTAGCCAAAATTTTAATGGTTTGCCTGATTTCTGCACATAGTGGTAATAAATTTCCCTCAATTCTTCCCCAGTGCATCTCTGTTGTCTGAAAGGTGACAGAACTTTCTACTATGAAACCCCAGGACAAATCTCAGTACTAGTTATTACAAAGCAGTAGAACTGAGGATGATCACCACATAGGGGCATTCTCTTCACCCACTTATATAAAAAGTAGTAGGGTAGTTGTCTTTGTACCTACTTCCCAGTGCTTTTTCTGAAACCATCTATTCAACTCATTTTAATTGAAAGGCATCGAAGTGAAGGACACTGTTATCCAGGTGACCATATATGAACTTCCCTATATTCCTATTTATTGGCGCAGAGACTAATCCTTCCTAATCTTTCTTTTTGCCAACAGAGAACATGCCTATGTCAGCATCCCATTTTCACCACGAAATCCCCAGGAAAACAGAAGTGTGTTAATCTTTCTCAACTAACAAGTTATGCTGTCCCTCTTTCATGGATACTCAGAGAAAAGAAAAAATAATAATAAAGCCTTAGATAAGAAACAAAGGGCTTTATTATTTACAGAGGTAGTAATAGCCAGTATATCAGTATTTATACTGGTTCTTCAAGCTCCAGTTTCCATAGGGCAGCACAAAAAGGTTGAGGTGGCATCTTTACATGCAATTAAGTTACCCTACAGGAGAGGAAGCATGAGTTAGGGAAACCAAATCTTCTATAGTGGGCAGAAAGCATATCTGATCTTTACACAAAGAGAAACATGTTTTTACTATACTGACCAGTAAGAAAAATAGAAAAAACAAAGAAAAAAACAGAAAGAACAGATCTTTGCTTCAGATGAAAACACTATCTCTACCTACTTAGGCTGTTTACTATACTAACATTTTTGAAATAATAATCCGGAGCAAAGCTGGACAGTGCCTCTGCATATAAGACATGAAGAAATGTAAGAGACTCATGGAGAATGGTCTCTCCACAACATGACCCTGTCAAAACATATTTATATTAAGAGCATTCTCTCTCTGTCTTTCTCCCATCTCTGCATTTCCGTGTCTCTCTCTCTCTGTCTCTTATACACACACAAACACACACACACGCACATACACACACACACACAGAGACAGAGAGAGAGAGCAAAAACTGAAGTATTTTGGGAGTGTCTTACAGCTTTAAAAGTATTCCCCCAAATTTTACAATGAAATATCAAGATGTTCATTTGGTGGGACCCTTAGAGTTTTAAAAATAGTTAATAGAAAAAAACCCTACTTTTTCAGTGATCATTAACAGTAAAAGGAATGAATTCTAATCATATTAATATAATAGATAAGAATTATGACTGTAGAGAATAAATGGGAGACTGATATGTGGCAATTTTAAAAGAAAGAATTAGGAGCATTATGTGTAGCTAAGCAGATAGCTGGCTTAGGAAATAGGCTGCAATGAGAAAGTTTGAAGAATATTTGAACAGAAGAAAACAATTTGAGTTAAATTTATAAATGAAAAGAAATCCAGTCAGTTAAGGTGATGGAGGAGGAGTGAGGGTGAAGCAGTCCCGCTTCACTGAGCAAGATAATAGTCTGCTCAGAGCATTCTGGACCCAGGAATTTTAGAGACTAAAGATTTAAGGTGGCTATAAAAGAATGAATTGTAGTAGTTGACATAGGAAGGATGAATAAGGATATCAGTTGAAGCCTACTCAATGTAAGAAAAATCTGGCAATGTTTCAGAGATGATGATAGTCAAAACTATATACGGAAGGAGAAAAATTCTCTTAGAATTTTTCAGTATGGAAGCCATTTAACTCACATGGAAGTGAAGGTCTTTGAGACAGCCAGCTATTTCACAGGACACAAAGATCTGCTCTAGTGGGAGGTAACAGATGTAGCCCTCCCAGCTTCTGTTTGAAGATATATACAGCACAAGTTTAGAAAATCCCCATTATTATATTATTTTTGTTTTACCATAAATTTTCATAGCATCATACCATAGAGGAAAATTGTGCCAAAGGAGAGAGAGAATTCTAGCACCAATGAGCTTATGGAACAATGTAATATGCAGAAAGAACAGAAGGAGAAATGTAATATACTGACTTTTAATTTTTATTTCAGACTGATGCTCATGGCTATCTAAAGCCATCCTCATTAGTAGAGGAGCAAAATAAATTATATCAGTACAGAAGGGAGGCACACCACAAAACTAAACCCCATTTTTGACAGGCTTATTTACTGCATAAATATGATGAAAATGTAAGTATTACCACTTACAATTATGCTTTGCAGTCAGGTTTTGTTTTCCGTTTTTAAAAATGTATGCATGTATTGTGGAAGAGATGGTGGATAAGACCAGTTTATTCACTCAAGAAAAAAAAAATCTTTGTATGCTGTCACACAGGGTGTACACATAGGGTGGGCACTAGCTTTTGATATTCCCACCTGGATCTGGTTTGAAATTGAGAAAAAAAAGGGCCAAATGCAGAATTGAATACATCAAGACTTAGTCTTTCCTAAAACACATTTTGCATTACAAGCATAACCCCATAAAGAAATACATTTCATTTGGGCTTGATTTTCTCAAGAGCCACCTACTGCAATTGTGTGAAATCATGTTGTCTGTGCAGTCTATCTTGGAGCACAATCTACACTAATTTGGATCTGTATTATAAAAGCTAAGCACATCTGGAAGCTGGGCTTGTGAAAAGGCATACCTTGCATTGTCGTGTGCATAGTAAAGTGGAATTTCTGTTTCGAGTTGCAACTTTGGAATCAAGTTTGTTTTCAGGAGTTTTGTGTAGACATGAGTAGACATGAGTAGACATGAGTATATAGCAGAATCCATTGACTGAATTCTAGGAGTGTGAGTACAGTTCGATTTTATTTGCGACATCTGTAGGGAAACTACTGATGAAAGTTGCATTGTCGAATAAATAGTAATATAATGGCTAATATTTATTCAGTTTTTTCTACAATGGTACTATTATCAATCATCTCTATTACATAGATGAAGAAATGTAGGTTTAGAAGGTTATGTGACCTTTCTGAACTCACAAACCTGTTAAATGATATTATCAGGATTTATACCAAGTTCTCTCTGACCCTAAAGTCCAAGTTCTTCATCAAGATCTATGCATGACCTTGAGAAAACACATTCTACTAGTCTGGGAAGAAATAAATCTAAAATTGATTAGAAAAAGAGATGAGGCATGAGATTCAGTTAATTCAATTTGTTAGAGCATATTAATAAAAAATGTTTTCTGTTATGCTCTCCCACATTGGAAAGTCATTTTTATCCATAAGCCTGAGTCATAGTGTGCAAACCAAACCCAGAAAGCTGACCTGCAAATATTATACAAGATGCCGCCTTCAAGTGGGACCTAGTAACATAGTTTGTGGTTCAGCATGAAATATCACCTTTGTCAAAATCTCACACACACTTCAGTATTATAATCCAAATGGTGACAATATCCCAACTTTATAGCTTTGTGTCTCAACAATAGCTTGTTTAAAGAAATAATAATTTTGGATATTAAAGAGATACTTTAAATTTTTAGTGTTAAATATTAAGTCTATGTTTAGGGATATCATTGAGTACAGAGCAGTCAGGAGTTAGAATACTTGGAATTCAATACATGTTGATCAGAAATAACAGTTTTTTAATATTGCAAAAACAGTTTACTCAAAAAAATGTTTAAACGATTTGTATGACAAACGCAGGTAAAAGCTGAACAATTACATTATTTAATTGTTTCGCAATATTTCAATTAAATTCATATGAAAATAAAATGGGCTTTCATTAAAATTTTGATGGAACAAATTAATCACTACTTTATTGGTTGAGAAGATGCACTCATATTCATTATTCATTCAACCTGTCTTAATTTGGTATGAACTGCACCCTGGCCTTGTTCTAGGTGTTAAGTACATAATGATATGCAGAAGACAGACATTCCATTAGGGAGTTCAGAGTCCAGAGGGAGCCAGACAGAAGAATCACTGTATCCTGACAAGTAAGAAACTTCATATGTCCCATGGTGACAACTTGAAAGCTTATAACATAGTAGGGCAAATGAGATAGGATGCAGACAGAGAGGTGGGTAATGATGTATCATACATAGTTTATAAAGAAAATAAAAAGCCTTTATTCTTTAAATTGAGAGCAAAAGAAAGTCAGTGCATGTCATTAACCAGAGATTGATGTAGTCCAATTTATGTTAAATTTTGTTTCTCTCTTGTTGCCATGTGGAGAATGAAATGTAGGAGGGATGGGTAAGAAGGGAGATCAGAACTAGGACATTGCCATGTCCAAATAGAGAGCATCAGTAGTAATATGGTATATGATTGTGGCTCAAATAGGGTTGGTTTTAGTGCAAATGAAGATAGTGAAATATGAGAGGTTAAAAAGTCAGAACACAGAGATCAGTCGTGAGGGGAAGACGGGTAAACTGAAATGAGTATGAGTTATGTGGCAAGGAAAAATTGCTAAGGACAGCATTTAAGTTCCTAGATTGTGCAACTGGGTGTGCAGTGGTACCATTTATTGACATTTTTAAAAAATCTGAAAAAGGACAAAGCTTAAGGAAAGTAAACTATAAGTTTGGTTTTTAAATTGCATTTGAATTGGTTTTTGCATTGTTTGATTGAATCTATAAAGTGCAGTGGACCCGCCGTTGAGACATTTAAGTGAAGATATTGACTAAGCTGTTGCATACATTGATGTAGATCTCTAAAATGAGTTCTGGAATACTGACTAACATGGATGAACCTCCTATAAAAAATAAAGTAAAAATTAACTTGGTGCTATGTGGAATCCTATTATATCCAGGAAATTCATCCTAGAAAAGTTAAAAAGAAATGCTTGTTAATACTTATCACTTGGTTTAAAACTCATTGTAGAAAGGACAGGAAAATATGAATATGTTGGGGAAAATTAACAAAAAAGAAGCCTCTTTATATAAAAGTGAAAAACATTTTAGAGCCAATGCCATGCACACGGAAGTATAGTACACTCAAAGAAATGTTTTTTCCTTATTTTTTTTGAGTTGCGTAGGCTTGAGTATATACTGATATAACATGCCTCATTTGGATATGTATTTTTATCACACCTATAAATATTAACTATATATAGTGCATATGCAGATGAAATGCTAATAAATTTATAAAAGTATAACATGCTACTAAAGATAACCATTTTGCAAACACCGCATAGTCCCAAATTATTCTCTGAAGATTTCCCATTTTTTAAAAAAAAGTAGAAACAGAACCAATAAGACACTAGTGAATATTTTAGTAACACAGAATGCCCAGTGAAACAGAATTTGTATTTTAAAGATTTGTACTTGGGCTTTTATAGTGTTTTCAGAATTAATGTCCCAAACTAATAAACTCAGATAGCTACAGATAACCCCAAACTAACCACCTGCCTCCACTTATCCATTTTCTTTTTTTCTTATAATACAAACATAATAAGGTGTCAGATAAAATTTGCAAGTTAATGCGAGTAGATGACATATGATCTGTTAAGCTTGGAAAAAAGGAGAAAAATAAAACTGTTAAAGAACTAAGGCCTCATTTGAAGAAGGCAAAAAAGGAGAAAGACCACTGATAAAAGCAAAGTAAGGCACCTGGAGGATATGTTTGATAAAAAGTAAAATAAAGTGGAAGTGAATAAGAGTTCAAAAGATTGTCACGGATATCATAACTAGGAAAGGAGGAAAAAGGAGAGCCACAATAATAGTAAGTACCCCTCCCTGCAGTAAAAGAAACACCATGTCTTTGGAAAAGCTCAACTAGAGATATAGTCTGGTGAACTTACTGGACTATAAAAATAAAGTTCTTCAGACATTCAAGCAAAAAGATCAGTTCCCTTACTCTATTAGTCAGCAAATATTTATTGACTGCTTACTCTGTTTTAGGCATTTTGCCAGTTGTGGAAAGAATGGTGAACAGGACGGATAACAGACCATGTTCTCATGGCGCTTATGCAGGAAAAAAAATATCAGATTGGCTCCCAAGCCTCTTATTAGTCATTATTAATGCCTGGAACCTGTGGATCAATGCCTGAAATGACTTTGGGAAAGAAAATGAAGAAAATGTGCCTGAAGAGGTCTATACCCAGCCAAACTGCCCTTCTATATATGGAAAACAAATAATTTTGAACATGCAAGTATTGTTTCTACTAACAATACTGTTAGTAGACAATATTGTTTCTACTAACAATACTGTTAGTAGACAATATTGTTTCTACTAACAATACTGTTAGTAGACAATATTGTTTCTACTAACAATACTGTTAGTAGACAATATTGTTTCTACTAACCATTGTTGAAGAAACCATTAGTGGATGTAGCCCATCCAAATAAGAAACGAATAGAGAAACTAAGGCAAAGGGGCTGGCAGGTTAGCATAGAAACCAATTACAAATGACTGGGAATAAAACAAATATGGTGATTATTTTAGAAAAGAGAACATAGAATATTTAAATGCTCAATGAGGAAATAATACAGCTGTTCAAATCTAGTAAAATATACTGTAAAACTAAATAAAATTGATTTTAAAAATGTAATTTACTATGTTAGAGCTCAGAGTGGTTACAAAATTTTACTGACCATTGGTAATAAAATGAATTCATGAAATTGTAAAGCACTACCTTCTAAAATAGCACTAGGCCCAATTGAGTCTGTGGATGAATCCTATGACACCTTTAATACATGGATAACCTAAAGTTATCTAATATATTCCAGAGCGTAGAAGAAAATGGAATACTTTCACATTATGCTGAAAGCATCATAACACTGATACACAAATCTAACAGAAAACAATAAAAGATAATTACAGATCAGTCTCATGTATGGTTACTGATGCAAATGCCTGAATAAATTTTAGTACATTACTAATGTGGATTCATACCATAGAGGCAAGGATGAGTTTGCATTAAGGGATCAACTGTACTTAATACTTGGTTTGGACCTTTTTTCCCCATTTTATTTCACTTTCCTTCTATTTGGAGAATTTGGAAAGCAAACAACACACTCCCAAGACCCCTTGTAATTAACATTCTGGATGTGAATTTGATTTATGCTAATATAGAAGGAAAAAACAAGGAAAGTCAATGCCATCTGATTGGGGCAGTGTTGATAGAAAAACAGCCTCTGGTAGGAGTGAGTGTTGGCAGGAGCTCTTCCACTGTTGGGTCATTAGTTTCATGGGTGTGGTAGCTGCAGTGTCCTGACTTTGGATCACAGAGGCAGTTATGTGACTTAGACACCAAAACACCTGCTAGCTCCTTGACTCTCCCTTTCCCTATCCCAGCCAGGCATATCTGATTACTTATATTTGCCTTCATTTCACTCCTCCTCTCTTGGGACAGTGGTGTAGAAGCCTCTTCTAACTGAGGTTAAATCTACAACTTTACTTCTGCATGCCTCTCCCATTCCTTCCCACCTGTGTGGGTTACTCTTCTGATTGTGTCTACCATGATTTTGAATCTACCAAATTTTCCTACCAAGATTTAAACATAATCGAACAACTCTTAGCTTTAACATATTGTCATCTACTACTTCTTACAACCTCCAAAAACTTGTTGTTTAGGTCAAGCTAAGCTTATTAGACAGTAAGTACTCACTTACAGCAAGAAAGAACACTACCTTGACAGAATCTTCACAGTGTCTGAATGAGGATAGGTAAGGTATGTATTTATAGAGTTCTAGGGCCTAGGCTGAATGTTTTTGCAGTGGATTTCAAAAGTAGAAAACTGGGTTGGAATTGGGCAAAGTTTATGACTGGATTGGTGAGCAAAGCAAGTCAAACATTAAAGCAAGTTTTGGGCAAGGTATTCGTCTTAATAGATAAATTATTTTAGATGATTCAGAGTCATATCTCACAGGAAGAAGTGGCTAAGTTCCTAGTCATCAATACTGTTTTACTTAGATACAGTCTGGTCTTGGTATTGTTTTACACAAGGGTAGAAAATTCTGTTTCATTTTTAAAACAAAGAAAGAAGCAAACAAAAGCTCTCAAACTCAAGTTCCTTTTATTTAGCACACTCTTTCTCTTCCTCCTTAAAATTAAAGTTTTTGGAAGTGCTATCTATTTTCTTTTTCTCCCCAGATACTACAATCTGTTAATCTGCTTCTACTTTGGTAAGGTCACTAATAATAATTAACAAGTATATAATTTTCATTTAGTTTTCTTATTTGATCTCTCACCTTTTAGGCACTGCCAAACCCTTGTTGGAAACCTCACCCATCTCTTGGCTTGCAGGATGTCATCCTCTCCTCCTGTCTGCCTGCCCCTTCTCAGTTTCCTTTACAGAGTTCCTCTTCTCTGCTGTGCACTACATGCAGGGCTCTGCCTGATAAATCAGATTATATCTATTGAGGTCTTCTATTTAAAAGAATTAATTGGTAAGTTTCAACTTTCTCCCCAACCATCACTCAACATATTTAGTTTATAAACCCGGTTTATTACAGTTAGTTATTATTGTTTACATTATAGTTTTATTTTTAGAATTAAAAATGTATAACTAGTATATATTTACAATTATTTAGACTTAGTTATCTGATTACTATCCTTTTTAATGCTCAAAACAGTATTATTAAACTCTTAAATCATTTTGATTTTTCTTCTGGTCATCTAAGCTATACTTTTGAATTCACATGGGAGAGCAAAGAGGGAGAAATATGGAGATAGTATACATTCAGAGTTTTGCATTTCCAAAAGGTATTTTTCTCTCTTTTTTTTCACATTAGAAAAACAAGGTGGTTGTAGGATTTCTAATTCCAAGAATGCTCTACAAACATTTAGGTGTAATTTTTTCTTCTACTAATTAATGCTCTAGAGAATAGAAATTCAATTTTTATTCCTTTCTGATAATAACTTTCTTGAAAAATTATTCCTCATTTTCAACATTAGGTTTTGTTTAGGCCTTGAAACTCATAGATTTCATCAAAAGATAACTAGGTTTACTCCCTTTCGTTCTCTCCCATCTTTATTTCCTTCCTTCCTTCTTTCCTTCCTTCCTTCTTTCTTTCCTTCCTTCTCCCTTCCTTCTTTCTCACTTTCTTTTTTCTTTTTCTTACTTACCTTCTTCCTTCCTTCCTTCCCTCCCTCCCTCTTTCCTTCCCTCCTGCTTCCTCCCTCTGCCTTGCCTTTGCCCTGCCCCTTCCCTTCTCTTCTCTTCCCTTCCCTTCCCTTCCCTTCCCTTCTCTACTTTTTACTCTCTCTCCTTCTGTCTTTCTTTCTGTTTTATGCTTTTCTTTTCTGATACTGAAGGGACATTTTGAATATCAGAATTAGTCTTCAATTGAAGAAAGTTGTAGATTTGTCTGGAAAACATTTTTTTTCGGTAAAATGATATGCTGTGTTGGAAGTCTCAATACTGTAATGATGTCATTACAAATTAACAAATTTATTTATTTGCATCTGCTCTCAAGCAATATTCCTAGAGGATATGTGTGTGTGCGTGTGTCTGTGTGTTTGTTTCAAAAATTGTCAAACTAATTCACATTCCCACCAACAGTGTATAAGTGTTTCATTTTCTCAGCAGCCTCACCACCATATGTTATTTTTTGACTTTTTAATAAAAGCCATTCTGACTGGTGTGAGATGGTATCTCATTGTGGTTTTGATTTGCATTTCTCTGATGATTAGTGGTGATTAGCATTTTTTCATTGGCAGTTTGATGATTTCTCAAAGAATTGAGAGTTGAATTACCATTTGATCCAGCAATCTTGTTACCAGGTGCATACCCAAAGGCAAGTAAATAATTCTACCAAAAGGACACATGCACCCATATGTTTGTCACTATTTACAATAGAAAAGGCATGGAATCAACCCAGGTGTCCACCAATGGCAGACTGGAATATTTTTAAAAATGTGATACATATACACTATGGAATACTATGCAGCCATTAAAAATGATGAAATCATGTTCTTTGCAGCAACATGGATGCAGCTGGAAACCATTATCCTAAGTGAACAAACACAGAAACAGAAAAGCAAATACCACATGTTCTCACTTATAAATGGTCATAAGAATGGTAACAATAGACACTGAGGAATACAAGGGTTAGGAGGGGATTAAGGGTGGAAATAAACTAACTTTTGGGTACTATGCTCACTACCTGGGTGACGAAATCATTTGTACTCCAAACCTCAGCATCACACAATACATGTTTGTAATAAATCTGCACATGTACTCCCTGATTCTAAAATAAAAGTTAAAAGTAAAGAATAAATTGTCAAACTGATTTTATGCTTTCTTCATTGGCTTATTTGTTACTATTTTTTAAATTGACTTTTATTTCTTATCTTTTATAAGAACAGTTTATATTATGGATATTAATCATTCACTGATTTTTTTCTTGTTACTCTGCAGGCCACTTTGCTTTTAACATTTTAAATGATGTCTACCAGCATAAGATCTTAAATATTTTTGTAGACAAGTTTATCATTGTTTTCTATTTTTTTCTTCCTACAGAAGATATTGCTTATATAAAGTTTCTATAAGTACTCTTCTGTAGTTTCCCCCAGATGTTTACGTATGTATTTATATTTAATGTTTTAATCAATCTGCATAACTTGTTTGTATGTGCATGTGTGTGTATATACTGGATGAGGTAAGTCTCTAACATGATTTTTGTCTTTGACTCCATTTTATACAAAATCAATCTTTCTCTCAATGTTTACAAAAATAATGCTTACTGCTAGCAAAATTTATATATATATGCATAGATTTATTTCACACTCTCCGATACGGTTTGGCTGTGTCCCCACCCAAATCTCATCTTAAATATCCACGTGTTGTGGGAAGGACCTGGTGGGAGGTAACTGAATCATGGAGGCAAGTCTTTTCAGTGCTGTTCTTGTGATAATGAATAAGTTGCACGAGATCTGATGGTTTTAAAAACGGGAGTTTTCCTGCACAAACTCTCTTCTCTTGTCTGCTGACACATGAGATGTGCCTTTCACCTTCGCCATGATTATGAGGCCTCCACAGCCATGTGGAACTATAAATCCACTAAATCTCTTACTTTGTAAATTACCCATTCTTGGGTATGTCTTTATAAGCTGCGTGAAAATTGACTGATACAGTAAATTGATGCCAGTAGAGTGGGGTACTGCTGAAAATATAACCAAAAATGTGGAAATGACTTTGGAACAGTGTAACAGGCAGAGGATGGAATAGTTTGGAGGGCTCAGAAGAAGACAGGAAAATGTGGGAAGGTTTGGAACTTCCTGGAGACTTGTTGAATGACTTTTCCCAAAATGCTGGTAGCAATATGGACAACAAAGTCCAAGATGAGGTAGTCTCAGATGGAAATGAAGAACTTGTTGGGAACTGGAGCAAAGGTGACTCTTGTTATGTTTTAGCAAAGAGACTGGAGGCATTTTGCCCCTGCCCTAGAGATCTGTGGAACTTTGAAATTGAGAGATATAATTTAGGGTATCTGGCAGAAGAAATTTCTAAGCAGCAAAGCATTCAAGATGTGACATGGGTGCTGTTATAGGCATTCAGTTTTACAAGGGAAGCAGAGCATAAAAGTTCAGAAAATGTGCGGCCTGGCAATGTAATAGAAAACAAAATCTCACTTTCTAAGGATAAATTCAAGCTGGCTGCAGAAATTTACATAAGTAACTAGGAAATGAATATTAATCCCAAAGAGAAAGGGGAAATTGTCTCCAGGGCATGTCAGAGGCCTTCACAGCAGCCCCTCCCATCGTAGGCCTGGAGGCCTAGGAAGAAAAAGTGGTTTCATGGGCCAGGCTTAGGGTCCTTTGCTGTATGTAGCCTAGGGACTTGGTACCCTGCAACCCAGTGGTTCCAGCTGTGACCGAAAGGGGCCAATGTAGAGCTCAGGCCATGGCTTCACGGGGTGCAAGCCTTAAGCCTTAGCAGTTTCCACATGATATTGAGCCTGGGAGTGCACAGAAGTCAAGAATTGAGGTTTGAGAACCTCTGCCTAGATTGCAGTGGATGTATGGAAATACCTGGATGTCCAGGCAGATGTTTGCTGCAGAGATGGGGCCCTCATGGAGAACCTCTGCTAGGGCAGTGCAGAAGGGAAATGTGGGGTTGGAGCCCCCACATAGAGTCCCTACTGGGGCACCACCTAGTGGAGCTGTGAGAAGAGTGTCACCAACCTCCAGACCCTAGAATGGTAGATCCACTGACAACCTGCACCATGTGCCTAAAAAAGCTGCAGACTCTCAATGCCAGCCTGGTAAAGCAGAAAGCAGCCAGGAGGGAGGCTGTACTCTGCAATGCAACAGCGGCAGGGCTGCCCAAGACCATGAGAACCCACCTCTTGCATCAGCATGACCTGGATGTGAGACATGGAGTCAAAGGAGATCATTTTGGAGCTTTAAGATTTAACTGCCCTGCTGGATTGCAGATTTGCATGGGGCCTGTAGCCCCTTTCATTTTGGCCAGTTTCTTCCATTGGAAATGCTGTGTTTACCCAATGCCTGTATCCCCATTGGATTTAGGAAATAACTAACTTGCTTTTGATTTTACATGCTCATAGGCAGAAGGGAGTTGCCTTGTCTTGGAAGATACTTTGGACTGAGAACTTTTGAGTTAATGCTGAAATGAGTTAAGACTTCAGGGAATGTTAAAAAGACATGAATGGTTTTGAAATGTGGGGACATGAGATATGGGAGGGGCTTGAGTGGAATGATATGGTTTGGCTTGTCCCCACTCAAATCTCATCTTAAATTTCCTTGTGTTGTAGGACAGACCCAGTGGGAGGTAATTGAATCATGGGGCAGGTCTTTCAAGTGCTGTTTTCATGATAGTGAGTAAGTCTCACAAGATCTGATAGTTTTAAAAATGGGAATTTCCCTGAACAAGCTCTCTCTCTTCTCTTTTCTGCTGCCATGTGAGATGTGCCTTTCACTTTCCACCATGATTTTGATGTCTCCCCAGCCACATGGAACTGTAAGTCAATTAAACCTCTTTCTTTGTAAATTTCCCAGTCTTGGGTATGTCTTTATCACCAGTGTGAAAATGGACTAATACACTCTTTATTCTGTTTTACTGACCTATCTGTCTATTACTGTGTGTATGCTACAATGTTTTACTTGTCTGGCTTTTTATTATGATGTCATATTTTCCAGACCACTAATTCTCAATCCTATGTCAGTTCATATCACTAGGGAATTTTTGGAAGGTGTGAAGTGTTTTACAGTGTCACAATGACTGAGGGTATATCATTAGCTTTAATAAGTGAGGGTCAGAGATGTTAAAATATTACAATAAATGAAAAAGTCCAACCCAACAAATAATTACCTTTACCAAAATTTCAATAATACTTCTCGGCCAGAAGTGGTGGCTCATGCCTGTAATCGCAGCACTTTGGGAGTCTGAGGCAGGCAGATCACCTGAGGTCAGGAGTTTGAGACCAGCCTGGCCAACAGAGTGAAACCCCCTCTCTACTAAAAATACAAAAAAATTAGCCAGGTGTGGTGGTGGGTGCCTGTAATCGCAGCTACTCAGGAGGCTGAGGCAGGAGAATTGTTTGCACCCAGGAGGCTGAGATTGCAGTGAGCCAAGATTGTACCATTGCAGTCCAGTCTGGGTGACAGAGCAAGAGTCCATCTCAAAAACAAAAATATTAATAATAATACTTTTATGTAAGAAATTGGTTTCAAGGAAAAAAATAAGCAAGAAATCAAACAAAACTAGTTTAGAATCAGTTTATCAAGTACAATTTAAAAATTTGAATTTGATTAAGAATTATTTAAATTTATTAGCTGATTTGGAGGAGAATGAACAATTACAGAGAATTAAGAATTAAGATTGATGCTTATCATCCATGAAAAAGCATTCTTAATTTGTTTTATATTTATAGGAAAGTTGTATTTTTCCTCCACTCAGATTTTACACATTCTTATCAGATTAATCTAGGGGAAATTTAGAGATTTTCCTATCACTGTAAAGGATTTTTTTAAATATTTCACTACATTTTTATTATGTATATCCATTAGATTTTCCAGTCATGATGGCTTGTGCATGTGACTAGTAAAGACATATATTTTTGTTGTTGTTGTTGAAATTGTACTCAATTCTTTTTCTTCTCACTTGGGAATTTATTTCTTCTTAAATAAATTTTATTGTGTATATTTAAGATATGTAGCATGTTGTTATAAGATATGGTAAAACAGTTATTATAGTGGAACAAATTAACATATCCATCATCTCACATAGTTACACATTGTCCTCCCCCACCCCTTGGCAAGAACAGCTATAATTCACTAATTTAGCAAAACTCCTGAATACAATACACTGTTATTAGCTATAGTCCTCATGGTGTACATCCAGTCTTTCTACTCCTTTATCCCATGTATTTGCTACTTTATATCCTTTCATCTACTTCCGTTATTTTCTCTCTTCACCCTGATAACAATTACTCTACTCTCCCTGTATATATTTGACCTTTATTTTTAGGTTGCATGCAACCTAAAGTGCCAGCAAGTAATATTTTATTTCTGTGTCTGGCATGTGATTTATTTTACTTAGCATAATGTCCTCTAGGTTCATCTATACTTTAATAAATGGCAGTGTCTCTTCCTTTTTTAAGGCTGAATAATATTCCATTGCATTTTTACTACTATTTCTTTATCTATTAGTCCATTGATGGACACCTAGTTTGTTTCTATAGCTTGGCTATTGTGAATAATGCTACAGTGCACATGAGAGTGCAGGTATGTTTATGAGGTGTTGATTTTATTTCCCTTGGGTATATACACAGGGGAGGGATTGTTGTATTACATAGCAGTTCTTTTAGTAGGTTCTTTAGGAACTGCCATACTGTTTTCCATAATGACTGCATCAATCTACATTCCCACCAACAGCATACTCGGGTTCCCTTTCCTCTACACTCTCTCTAACACGCCTTATTTCTGTTTTCTTTTCTTTTATTTATTTATTTATTTATTTATTTATTTATTTTGAGATGGAGTCTCACTCTGTTGCTAGAATGGAGTGCAGTGGTGCGATCTCGGCTCACTGTAAGCTCCGCCTCCCAGGTTCAAGTAATTCTCCTGCCTCAGCCTCCCAAGTAGCTGGGGCTATGGCACACACCACCACATCCAGCTAATTTTTATATTTTTAGTAGAGACGGGGTTTCACAATGTTGGCCAGGATGGTCTCAATCTCTTGACCTTGTGATCCACCTGCCTCGGCTTAGAAATTCTTTTTAACAACAGCTAATTTAACAGGTGTAAAGTCGTATCTCATAGTGGTTTTAATTTGAATTTCCCTGATGATTAGTGATATTGAGCATCTTTTCATATTACCTCTTGGCCATTTTTGTGACATCTTTGGAGAAATTTTTATACAAGTCTTTTGCCTATTTTTAAATCAGGCTATATGTTTTCTTGCTATTGAGTTGCATGAATTCTTTTATAACTCTTGGATATTAACCCCTTATCTAATATTTTTCCAAATTATAGGTTGCCTTTTTATTTTCTTGACTGTTTATTTTGCTGTGCAGGAGCTTTTTAGTTTGATGTAGTCCAGTTTATTTATTTTTGCTTTGGATGCCTGAGCTTTTGATGTGATATCCAATAAATTATTGCAAGGCAAATGTCAAAGAACTCTTCATCTATGTTTTCTTCTAGGATTTTTATGGTTTCAGGTCTTACATTTATATTTTTTATACATTATTTTTTTTTTTGAGACAGAGTCTCGCTCTGTTGCCCAAACTGGAGTGCAACGGCTCAAGCTCTGCTCACTGCAAGCTCTGCCTCCCAGGTTCACGCCATTCTCCTGCCTCAGCCTCCCGAATAGCTGGGACTACAGGCGCCTGCCACCACGCCCGGCTAATTTTTTGTATTTTTAGTGGAGATGGGGTTTCACCGTATTAGTCAGGATGGTCTCGATTTCCTGACCTCGTGATCCGCACACCTCGGCCTCCCGAAGTGCTGGGATTTCAGGTGTGAGCCACCGTGCCCGGCCACCTTTTATATATTTTTGAGTTGATTTATGTGTATGGTGTAAGATAAAGGTCTAATTTCATGCTTTTGCAAATGAAGACATGGTTTTCTTAAAATAATTTATGGAAGGATTAACCTTTCACCATTGTGTCTTTTTGGTGCCCTAGTCACAAATTAATTGACCATGTATGTTTCAATTCATTTGGGGGCTCTATATTTTGTTCCCCTCATCTATGTGTCTGCATTTATGTTGGAACCATGCTATTTTGATTACTATAGCATTGTAATATGATTTTAAATCAAGAAATGTGATGCTTCCAACTTTGTTTCCCCACTCCTCTGCCTCAGGATTGCTTTGGCAATTTAGGGGTTTTTTTGGGTGTCCAATTTTAGCATTAGTTTTTCTATTCTGTGAAGAATGCCATTGGGATATTAATAGGAACTGCATTAAATCTATATATTGCTTTAGGTAGTATGGACTTTTTAACAACATTAATTCTTTTAATCCATGACCATGGAATATATTTTATTTATTGGCTTTTTCTTTAATTTCTGATATTGTTTGGCTGTGTCCCCACCCAAATCTCATCTTAAATTGTAGATCCCATAATCCCCACGTGTTGTGGGAGGGACCCAGTGGGCAGCGGCAGGTAGTTTAATTATGGGGACAGTTGCCCACATGCTGTTCTCATGATAGTGAGTGAGTTCTCACAAGATCTGATGGTTTTATAAGGGGCATTTCCCCATTTTTGCTCAGCACTTCTCCTTGCTGCCACCATGTGAAGAAGGATGTGCTTGCTTTACCTTCTGCCATGATTGTAAGTTTCCTGAGGCCCCCCTCAGCCATGCTTAACTGTGAGTCAATTAAACCTCTTTCCTTTATAAATTACCATGTCTCAGGTATGTCTTTATTAGCAGCATGAGAATGGACTAATACAATTTCTTTCATCAATGTTCTATAGTTTTCAGTGGACAATCTTTCACCTCTTGGTTAAATTGATTCCTAAGTATTTTATTTTATTATTTAATATTATCATAAATGGGATTCTTTTCTTGATTTTTTTTTGGGTAGGCAATTCTCTGTGTATAAAAATGTCATGGGTTTTTATATTGATTTTATATTCTGAAATTTTACTGAACTCATTAATTAAAGCTAACAGTTTTTCAATGGAATCTTTGGCATTTTCTACATATAGGATTATGTATTCTGCAAATAGAGACAATTTTACTTCTTCTTTTCAGGTTTGGATACTTTTTATTTATTTTTATTTGTCTAATTGTTCTTGACAGCACTACCAGTACTATGTTGAAAAGAAGGAGCTAGAGTGTGCATATTTGCCTTGTGCCAGATCTTAAAGATAAAGTCTCAGTTTCTCCCCATTAGCTATGATGTTAGCTATGGGTTTTTCATAAATGGCCTTTATTATGTTAAGGAACTTTCCTTGTATACCTAAAGTCTTAGAAGTTTTTTATCAAGAAATGATGTTGAAATTTGTTGAATGCTTTTGCTGAATCAATTGTTATGATCAGGTAGTTTTTGCCTTTTATTCTATTAATATGATGTAACACATTTGTTGATTTGCATTTGGTAAACCAGCTTTGCATACCAGGAATAAATTCTACTTTATCATGATGCATAATTTATTTTATGTGCTGTTGAATTTGATTTGCCAATATTTTTTGAAGAATTTTGCATTAATATGCATAAGAGATATTGGTCTGTAGTTTTATTTTCTTGTGGTATCTTTGGCTCACATGTGATAGTCATGCTGGCCTTGTAAAATGTGCTAAGAAGTATTCTACTGTTTGGAAGAGTTTTAAAACTATTGGTATTAATTCTTCTTTGAAAGCTTTGTAGAATTCAAAGGTAAAGCCATCTGGTCCTGGGCATTTTGTGGGGGGAAGGTGGGGAGGCTTTTAATTACAGCTTTAATTTATTCTTTTGTTATTGGTCTCTTCAGGCTTTATATTTCTTTTTGATTCAATCCTGTTAGGTTGTAATTTTCTAGGAATTTATCTATTTTTTGAGGCTATCAAACTTATTGGCATATAATTTTTCTAATAGTCCAACATCCTTTTTGTTTCTGAGGAGTCTGTTTTAATACATCCAATTTTACTTCTGATTTTACATACTTGAATCTTCTCTCGTTGTTTCTTAGGTAATTTAGCTAAGATTTTGTTAAATTTTGTGTATTTTTAAAAAATAACCATTAGTTTTATAGCTATTTTTGTATAGGTTTTCTGTTATTTATTTATTTATTTTCTATTCTTTACCATTTTATTCCTTTTGCTAACTTTTGATTTAGTTTGTTCTTTTTTTCCTAGATCCTTGAGGCATAATGTTAGGCCATTCATTTGAGAAACATTTTTTTTTCATTTTTTTCTTCATTTCTGAAGGACAGATACAATGGGTATAGTATTCTTGGTTGACAGTTTTTGTTCTGTTTTGTTTTCTCACACTTTGAATAAAACATCTCATTGTCTCCTGGCCTATAAGGTTTCTGCTGAGAAATATGCTGATAGTCTACATGATTTTCTGCTATGTCACTTGACACTTTTCTCTTGCCACTTGTAAAATTCTCTTTGTCTTTGACTTTTGATAGTTTAATAATAATGTGCCTCAGAGAGGACCTTTTTGGGTTGAATCTGTTTGAGAATATTTGAGCTCCATGGATCTGGATGTTTATATTTCTTCCAAGACTTGGGGTTTTTTCAGTAATTATTTCACTAAATAAGCTTATTGACCTTATCTTCATCTCTCTTCTTTCTAGAACTCCGATGCTGTGAATATTTAATTTACTTAATTGTGTCCCAGGAGTCTCATATGCTATTTTTATTATTTTTTATTATTCTTTCTTTTTATGCTGTCACTTGGTAATTTCAAAAGACCTATCTTTAAGTTCACAGGTACTTTCTTCTGCTAGATCTAGTCTATTGATGAAGCTCTTGATTATATTTTACATTACATTTATTGAATTCTTCAGCTTCAAGATTTGTGTTTGGTTCTCTTTTATGATATTTATCTCTTTGTTAAATTTCTCATTTAAAGCATGAACTGTTTTTTTCTGATTTTTTCGAATTACCTTTATGTATTCTCTTTTATCTTGTTGAGTTTTCTTAGGATTATTATTTTTAGTTTTTTGGGGGGAATTTGTAAATTTTCTTTACTTTAAGAAAGCTACTGGAGAATTATTGTGTTCCTTTGACGGTGTATACTTCTTTGCTTTTTCATGTGGTTTGTGCCCCTGTGTTGATGTCTGCACATCCAGTAGAAAAATCACCTCTCCAAATTTTAGATTGGCTTTCATAGAAAAAGATTTTTACCTTCAGATGGACCTTAGAGTACCAGAGGGAAAGGGTATGTTGACTGTTTCTGAGTGGATGCGATAGTATAGCATCTATGCCATACTATCAACTCCTTCATTTGCACTCAAAATCAGAGATGACTCTGGATGCCTCAGAGGCCTAGGCTGTAGGAGTCTATGGAAATGGCTATGGAAGTGTAGGTTGTTAAGACCCTTGGTTTCAAGGGCTTTTGGGATTCTTCTCTCCTCATTTTTCCTTACAATAGACAGTCTTGGTTCCTTCTTGGGGTCCAAGGGGGATATTTCTTCAATATACAAAGGGGATCCCTCTTCATGTTGAATATGATACAGCCCACAATCAGCTTCAGAAGTTATGGGTTCTAGACTGCAAGTGCTCAGAGTGGTTGTGGTGCTGAGGTCCTGGTCTCAGGGTCCAGAGAACCTATTGTGCCACCTGGGTCTCAGGGCATATGTTCAGTTTCTGAGTCAGTGTGGGATGTGGATTGCCTACAAAGCTAGGATCTGTGACTCTGAGAACCCCCAGAAGCTCAGGCCCTGGGGGACAAGTTTTAGCTGTAATTCTGTCCCTGAAGGGCAGGGTATAGAAATGCCCTGGCTCCAGGGAAAAGAGGATTCCCTGAAGATTTGAGCACACCCAGCAGAGTACAGCTGGAATTTGAGAATGAGATCCAATAGGGCACTATGGCTACTCAGTCACCAGAAGATGCAGCATCACATAGTGGTGACTCTGGATCTAAGATGGTGGTATACAGCAGTGTTTTCAGGTTCAGTGGCAGCAATAAACCCAGAATGGCAGAGCAAGCAATCACTTGAGCCCTGGGGGACAGGGGACAGCTCAGTGATGATTCCATTCCCTGGGTAGGACGTTGTGTCAACAGCTCAGACTCTAGGGTGTTATTCTAGTTCCAGAGCAGCAGGGTACTACAGTTGTTTGGCCTATATGGGAGTGTGTCTCAGCTCGGTCAATCCTCTGTTTCCCTGGGATGTGGGGTACCATGTCAGTTCAGTTCTGGGATGCACAGATGCTTGACTTGGCCAAAGCACAAATTCCCCATGAGTCAGGGCTCCATTTCAGCTCAAGCACAAGAAGGGTGTGACTGCTCTGGGCAGCTAAAGTACCATTTCTCTGTGAGGTAGCACACTGCTTCAGCTTAGCCCCTGAGGGGCATGGCACAGCAGTAGCTGAGAAAAGCCGATGGAATGGCTTCATGGCAACTTGTCCCCATATGTTAGCATGTAGTATAAGCTTGGCCCAAGGGTGATGAGCCATGAGGTGAGAGTGGTTCAGAGGTGACAAAGCCTAACTGATGGAAGGGTATCTTGATTATTTGTCCCCAAGCAATATTTATGGTTCCAAGATGGTGTAGTATGATAGTGGTTTGGGCCATGTTGGGAGGTATGAGTGGGATGGACACAGTGTTGATGCCTTCTCTGGGTCAGGGGGTGGGGTGCAGCTGTGTGCATCCCAGGCAGCTCCCTCAGCTGGGCTTAGTGCTTGTGAGGATTGCAGTAGTCCCTACTGTGAGGACTGTAGGTATTCAAGGTGGTGATGGGGGATGATGGGGAATTTGCTTACCTTTTCCCTATAGGAAGAATTTCCCCTTGGTTCTAAGTGGATTCCAACTAGGTGATGGAGTGACAGAGGCAAGATGTTTCCTTCTGTTCTCTATGTGGCTATCCTGGGCTTCTTTGATCTACAAGGTTTCTGTTACTTCTTTCGTGTACTCCAGTGCTCTCCTTCCGTTATTTTCATTAGAAAATATTATTGTTTCTGCTGTCTTTGTAGGGGAGATGAGTGCTGGGGGCTTCTAGTTGGCCATCTTGCTCTCAATCATTTTTTTGGAAGTGTTTTACTAGGCTTACTTTTAAAAATTTGTGTTTTATGAATTCCTTTGTTTTCTTTTGAGATAATCATGTTTTCTGCAAGAGTGATATTTTCCTATCATTCTCACATATCCTATATGTATTAGTTTGTATAATCAAATTAACTAGAAGCAGAAGCAGTAGTCACAGTGGCATCCTTGCCTTATTTCTCATTTTAATGGAATCTCCATTAATGTTTTATCAGCACATATATTGTGTTTTGGTTCTTATTAGATATGCTTAGCTAAATTTTCTTTCTATTCTCAGGATATTAAGTACTTTTTATAAAGAAACTTTAATCTGAAGACAAGTGTTTCAGCTTTGAGAAAAACACTTTTGCAATGATTATTGCTTAATTTGTTTAGGATAAGATAAAAAGTGGGAGATACTTAATTGACCAAGTTGTTACAGTGACAGTTTAAAAAGTGATTACAGTAAGAGTTGCACAAATGTTCCTTCTCTTTGTACTCATACATTTTTAATTATGTTTTCCTCAAACTTGAAGTGACTCTAATGTTGCTATTACTTCAATAGTACCACAAATAGGTAACTAACACCTATAAAGTGTATACTATGTGCTGGGCAGTATTCCATGTGATATATATATATATACCAATTTTTCCTCAAGGTGTATCATTTGGTAGAGATATTATTGTCTTTATTGTAGAAACATTGAACCAGTTATAGTAAAGAAAAAGTGATATTTTCAAAGCCATCCAGCTGATTATTGGCCATAATGGAAGGTATCGGGTGATGATGGCACATTACCCAAATGCCTCTCACAACCCCTCCCCATTTAAATCTCAAATAATGATTTCCTCTGTTATATTTCTGTATATCACCAAGAGATGAACTTCTGTTTCTCTCCTGTTTGTTTTGCATTCTTTCTCATGCATAATAATGATCTATGTTTGGATTTGTGTCTTTTGGATCCACCATTTATTATTTTCTGCTGTATGTAGCAGTGGTAGTATCCAGCAACAGATCTTGTTGATGGCACTGGTAGTACCTCTGGGGCATCCAAACAAGAGTATTTCTTCATCATACTCTTGGCCGTGGTTCCCTCTACAAAGCTTCTGTTGTTTTCTGCCCATTTTCTTAGCAGGTACCCCATCATGCCAGCTAATTCTGTGAGCTACCCAACATTCTTTCAACAATTATCCTTTTAGCTAGAACTGCTTTTTCTGCTCACATCCAAAATTTCCAACTGAGAGAGAAATTGGTACCTGGGAATGGGGTGCATCAGATACTTTCAAGGAAATGTGGAAACTATTAATTGTTCATCTGGCATAGCTGGGGCAGAAACCAGTCAAAATCTTGCTTAAATGCCAAGACAGGAATTCAGTAATAGTGAAAAAGTTAATCAAATTGTTGTCTGTAGTCACCTGGCATCATTGCAGTGATGCTTTGGGAATTGAATTGCCCCCACCACAGAATAGTGGGGTGTACGTGAGGAATTTATGGACTTAGAGAAGGGGCAGCTGTTTTGAACATCAATGGACAGCTTAAAGAAACAGAATGACAAGTTAAAATCCTTGAATTCTAGGCTCATAGCACAGACTGAAATACATGGAGTTTCTAGGATCAAGATAAAAGAATCTCTTATCTTTTGTTGCTGCAGGGACTGAGCTGGCAAAAAACAAAATGTGGTATTAGAGATAGTAAAATTAGACTATCAGTTGAATTCAGAGCTTTTCCTCGTCTCTTACGTAAAAATTAGAGAATTGGTAGGGAAAGATATTTTGGCACCCTGAACACTAACTCCCATTGATAGCCCATTGACACTGAAGAATACACTATGAAAATTCCTTGTACCTCTTCTTAAAGACACCCATCGCGACTTACCAAGGTAAGGATGCCCTGGGAAAATGGAACTGCTAAGATCTTTTGGAGATGCTTAGACACAAGCATTAAACACATTAATCTATTTTGCCAATTGGGAGGATTTTCTCTCTGAAACCTACTGGATGACTTGTGGAGCTCATGGGCAAAATAATGCCACGAGAAGTCCAGTTTTCTCTTGTGCTTTGATAATAGTTTCAAATTGCCTTAAATATCAACTTACCAGAATTTACGGCAAATGGCTGCCAGTTTGCCTAGAAACTAGATAAGGGATCTCAAAGGAACTGACGTGGGGGACTAATGACAGATTTTTTTTTTTTGGTGGGAGTGGGGCATTGGGGAAGAGAATCATGGAAGAATTTTTTAAAATGGGCTCAGAACATAAAGAATATTCATGCTACATATTAATGCAAAGGACATTTCTAGCCAAACAGCTCATACATTTAGATGGACAAGATAACCTAATCTCCCAATGTAGGTCATCTTCCTTCTATAGCAACTTTAGAATTTAATGAACAAAGTGGCCATGATTGAAAAGATAGTGGCTACTCACAAGCACAACAACACAGGTTTCCCCTTAGCAGTGTACCAAGATATTTTACCAAAAGTAGTAAATACAAACCTACAATACTATAGGATAACTGTTTGGACAAGTGTTTGTTTGAAGTCAGTTGATGATTGTTTTACTGCTTTTGTCGTGAAGGATTCATGTAGTGCCTCAAGTCAGCATCGTTATACCTTACACAACTGAATGCTTAATTCAATGTCATTATATTTCTCATAATTTCTTCCAAGCAAGGAACTCAATTTCCTATGAACAAAGCAGGAAAATGGGGTAATGCCCTTAGGTTACTTTAGTCTTATATACTTTATTGAAGAATAAGTTAGGTATCATGTCATAGGATACTACCTATGATTTGAAACATTTGAAACATATATATTGCTATTTATTTCAGTCAGTACACAATAGAATTGAAATTAGTACATCTTCCAATTAAACCTAATTAGTTATTCACAATATCTTTATTCCTATCTCTGAAATAATGGGAATACTGGTTTAGAAACTAGTAATATTCAAGGGAGAAATGTTACACCAGGGTATTCAGTAATGGTTGCATGGGAGTAAACATTGCCAGCTGGCCAATTCAGAATCTCATGACCTGAGTCAGCAAACAATCAGGTGGGTTAGTGTGTTGTATAGGGTAATTGATATTGAAAGTCAAGAGGAAAGATAATTGATGATACATAATACATCAGGAAGGGTGGGTCCCCAGTTGGTCCCATGGGGAATTTTTATGTGACCATATTTATTTGTAAAAGACTGAGCTGTACATATAAAACTGGCAGGAGTTCAGAACCCCTAAGAATGAAAGATTTACATAAATCTACTTTTCCTTTCTTTCAGTCACTACTATGGCAAGATCAAGACTGGATCTAGGAGATCTCGGTTCAATATGGAGATTATCCAGAGATTCTACTGTTGGAGCCAGATGCTATAACTGAAGAGGGTTAAAACTGTCTCCTTTTGGGACACCGGTAAACTGGATTTTTGCTATGAGAGGAAGTTTCATAGTACAAGACAGGAAGTTTTTTTGATTAGAATGGGCAAAAGATTTTATATGAATTCTAGGTTGCCAAAGAGATAATTGCTAGTGGGAATGTTGTGAACCTATCATGCACATGTTTACCTTATTTGGGATTAAAATCCATACTATGGGCTGGGCGTGGTGGCTCACGCCTGTAATTCCAGTACTTTGGGAGGCCGAGGCGGATGGATCATGAGGTCAGGAGTTTGAGAAGATCCTGACTAACATGGTGAAACCCTGTCTCTACTAAAAATACAAAAATTAGCCGGGCATGGTAGCATGCATCTGTAGTCCCAGCTACTCCATTCCACTCCAGTCTGGGTGACAGAGCAAGACTCTGTCAAAGAAAAAAAAAAAAAAAAAATCCTTACTATGTAAATCTTGGAGGAAGCCAGAATTTAAGGTCAGACTGAAAAGGTCATATATTCTTCTTTCTTTCCCCTGGCACCTAGAGCAGGGCAACTGACTAGGTTCAACCTACTGGATGGCCCACTTTGAATTTTCAGGAAGTAATACAAAATTTAAAAAGGCCTGTGAAAAATTATTGACCATCGCTGTGTTCACGGCAGCTGTGCCCAGTGACAGTAGGTCTGGTTCAGTGGTATTCAGGAACAACAGAGTGAGTGGTTCTTGTGTTCTAACCAGGAAATTCCTCCAGTGGAAATTACCTGTATTTTCTGATGTTTGACCTTCCTGTTTTCCCAAATATTGTTATCAAGCTTTTGAGTTAATTCTAGTATCTACTCAGTAGGCTCCTGTCTATTGAATCTTTTCAGGATTCAAATCCAACTTCAACATTACCTCCAATCAAATGCTCTCCCTGGACCCTACATTGCTAATTGAAATGCCATTCTAAAAGCTTCATATTATAGCTCCTGTCATGGCACTTCTCATATTTTGTTATAATTGTTTTCTTTGTCATATTAACTTCCCAAGTAGAAAGTCGAAAGGACTAAAACTTTCCTGTGGTTAAGAAAATCTAGCCTCATATAAGGTTTGATAAAGTAGGAATCCTGCAACTGTGTTTCTAATCAATGAGTATAGTTGACCTCTGGTTGTTACCTTACATAGTTACTAAGTTATTGCCTCTCAGCTCACGCTGTTTCTTCTACACTCTGCGCTGTGAAGCTGGACTGGAAATCTGCAAGCTTCATGTCTGCTTTGCCAGCTGCCTTCCTCTTAGCCTTGGCTAGTAGAAAGCACTAGAGGGAGCTGTAAGGATGGAAGAGGGAAAAGAGACTTGCTCCATTTTGTTTGTTTGGTGCTGGCTTCCCATTTGCTTCCTGTCATTGAGCATCACCTTAGCCTCATCTCACCTCTTCCTGCTGGTAGCAGCAGTTTGTCTCTGTAGAATGTTTAATTGACTTTGCAGTTCTTCAACATTTGCAGAATCACTCTCAATGTGCTCCTGCAAAAATAGCAGCCCCTGATGCTGTCAATCAGCATTCCTCTTCAGAGGCCTGGGTCCTAGTCCCATAAGATATTTCCCTCAAGCAAAGAGACACAGGCATGGGTGAAGCAGCACACTTTATCTGAGGTCTGAGTTTCAGCTCTGCACAGATCTTCCTCCAAGACTGTGTTTGCATACCCGGTCATAGTAGGGTAGCTGCAGCCTATAGAAACTCCTTCCATAACAATGCAATTATTTTTCTTTTTGCCATTTTAAGTCTTTAGTACCTAATTAACAATTGTTTATATAAAACCATTTCTGTTAAAATAACTGACTTGATTTTGTCTTCTGAATGGACCCTAACTGATACACAATCATTCTAGAGTAATATATGCAAAAGCATGCTTGATGTTACCCTGAACTGTTCTGGCCCATTTAAACCACAAGTATGCAGAAAAGTGCATCCTTCTGCATGTGATATATTGACTCAGAGAACTAGAACAATTCAGGTGCTTAGGCCAATTTGAATTGTATTTTCAGTATTCAAAATCAAAAGATGTAATGAGGATGTTCATGTTTTACTCTATTTTTGTATTGTTTATTTATAAAATTAATCATGTCAGGGTATTGCATATAACAGATTATGTCCTCAAATTGGATAATTTGAGATGAAATTAATAAAATGATGACCTACAAACCTGGAACAGGGTATAGAGAAATCAAAAGAGATTTCTATACCCCAGGGCCAGTTATAGTGGAGAGACCTGTAATCACCCTTATATCTGAAAGGACTAAAACCCGTAGAGCGATTCATGTAGCAAGCATCACCCGTCAAGAGCTGTGACCTTTGGCAGAGGTATACAATCAACCTGCAGAAAAGAAGCGAGGAAAATAAATTTTCCTACCTACCTCTGATCTCCTGCCAGGGATATCCATTAGCCAAACTCCACTAGAAACTGCAGGGCAAGGGAAACACTTGATGCAGTTCATAGAGATCGTTGTCCTGTGGGTCTACCAGGGAGCAGTGGAGGGCAGAAGATCTGATGGAGTGAATGGAATACAGCTTCAAAAAACGGGTTAATTATAAGCATAATTGAGATTTTTTAATAATGGAACGTTTTCAGGAAGAAATCTTTTTGAATAAATGAGGAATATATTCTGAGGGCAGGGAGAGAATGGGAAGGGAAGAGAGGAGAACATTTACAAAGTATTTCTGGAAGCATAGAAGTTAAATATCAAAGGAAAACACTCTGTCATCTGAAAACATGAGAGGAATTGGAAATATAAGTGTTCTAAATAACATTTTTACTTTTAACAATAAATACAGATTTTTAACACACTTTCATCTTGATTCTGGGAAGCATTTTAGTGCTCAGTAGCATTAAGAAACACTGAAACAGATTGACAAATACCTCCAAACATATATAACATGTGTATGTATGTATGCTTTAACATTTCAAAATATAATGTGCTAAGTTTCAAAGCATTTATAATTAATTAAGCTGTTTTCACAGCCCTTTAGAAGAATATTTTTCCAGGATAGCTGACTGCATAATGCTTTGCATGATTTATTTATAGACTACTAATGAAGACATATCTAATCATCATAATTAATTGGTATTTTTGTGCTTTGGGGCCTAATCACAAAATCTTTTACATGCTGGCTCAAAGTAAACCTGGCTATGGGGCAAACATTTAGGACAAACCCTGCTTGTTGTTTTTAATATACAGCTCCATTTTATTGATTTGTTTATTCAACATTTCTGACTCTGATTATACAATGCCAGTATAAGTAGCCCATTTGGTCAATTTAACTTTTTAGAATACTTTCTTAAACAAACAAAAAGAAACCAGAGGAATCATATTTGGCATAGTAGATAAAAACTTCAGTTTTTTACATTATTTATTGTGTTGTGTTACTATCAGATAGTGATACTAAGAATTTTGATTACCTTGAAGTGAAAGCAGAATTATTCTCTTCTAATTTACTTGTTAATTTTCCTTTTTCTTTTACTCATATGAAAAGTAATTTGAACTCACTGTTACGAGACAAATTAAGATTTTGTTCTGTGTATTTTTTAGAGCTATTGGGAGTTCCTGAGGAAAACTCTCAGAACACCCACTTTCATGTTTAGATAATGAAATAGTGAGAAATTACACCAAGAGCAAAGGTGAATATCAAATATCTCTTTTATTTTGAAGAGAGGCCAGTTTAGTATGTGGCTTTTATGCTTTTATTTGTAGCAAGCACTAAAATTACACTGGTGTTTACCCTTTGTCCACAAACAGAAACATAGAAGCCTGCCCGGGAAGAGCAGGGTAGAACTTATATTCTCTTTGTTCAGCTTCCCAGAGGAATAAGAAGGCCAGAGTGAAGCCAGGTATGTCCAGCTATTCTTTCTCAAATTTATAAATTTCTTAAATCACTCCACCTACCATGGACAGAATGAGCTAAGAGAGAGGGGACTAGAATTTTACTAATTAAACTCCTCTCAAAGAAGAGTTTCAGATTAAAGATTTCCATCTATTAAAAAGAAAGAAGGAAAAACAATTATTTTGTATTTTCCAATGGCTATACTCAGTTTAAGTGATCCTTTGAATATTTTAGCATTAAAATATTCTAAACATTTTATCTGATATGTTTAATCCTATCATGAATCCCAAATATCACATCAGTGTTTGCTTCAGGTAAACCAACCTGTGACAGGTGCCTATTGTTTTATGAATATGAGCATGTTCTTCTTAAAAAGAGATAATAATTCAAACAGATTATAAGACAATGATTGAATATTAATAATGATAGTGAGAAATTAGAATATAACATAATGTATTTAGTTTTTATTTGAAACTTATCCATAGTTCTAAACCTTCCTTTGCTTTTTAACTAAAACACCATTTATTTGATCTCCTGCAAAGGATAGTGAGTTTTCTGGATGGTGACTTCTACTGAAGTTTCTGGAATTGGAATAACTTTCCTAACTAAATTAGTATATTAACTAATTTTATTTTTTGTGATTCTTCTGTATCTATGAATTTCATTTAAACTGACTACCTAGTGACCCAACGTAATTTACTTGCTTCTGCAAACATTCTGATTAAATCAGTCATTATTAAGCCCTTCTGAGAAGCCATGAAGAAGACAAGAAAAAGTGAATATTCCATCAATAAAAGGGAATCAAAGTGAGAGACAGATAAACATCATTAGCATTAATTAGTCTAATAAAATTGTTTAAAAATTTAAGCAATAGAAAAATATGGGGCCCAAAAAGGTTATATTTCTAAGTTAATGAATTTATGAAGATGAGAATTGTATAACTGTTTATATTAGCTTGGGCTTCTATTAAAAAAATCATAGACTGGTGACTTTAGAGCAGACATTTATTTCTCAAATTTGGAAACTGGAAAGTCTAAATTCAAGGTGCCACTCAATACAATTTCTGGTAGAAGTCTTCTTTCTGGCTTGTAGACAGCCATCTTCATCCTGTGTCATAATATGTTGGAGAGAAAGCAATTTTTGCACTTCTTCTTCTTATAACAACAATTCCATCATGAGGGCCCCACCCTCATAACCACATGTAGCCCTAATTAGCTCTCATTGTCTCCGTCTCCAAATACCATCACATTGTGCATTAGGACTTCAACATATGAGTCGAGTCTTGGGGGGACCCAATTCAGTCCACAGCACTAGTCGCAAAAAAAAAAATATATTTGAAATGAGAGCAGAAAACTTGGCTTTTCAGATTATGGAGAAATACTTGGATTCCAGCAGGTATCACCTTAGGAATGCTGAACTTAAGATAAAGAGACAGGGGGCTGAGTTCCATTGTGGGGCTGAATGCCTAAAAGGCTTGAGATGGCTTAAAAAATGTCTGTAACTTCACCTTCCTCAGTATTAAGATGGGGCTACCGAAAGATCTTTCATAGGGTTGTGTGTATTTCTAAATGAGATAAGATATATACTCTATGTGTCGAAACAATAATAGAAAATTAAAGGTAAGATATCACAACGTAATTTCTTCATTTCAGATACTGACACTATATATATATATATATATATATATATATATATATATACATGCACACTACATTTTAAAGGAATTATGAGAAAGATGGAGTATTTGAGAAATGAGCAATTTTGAGAAAAGAAGAGCTAGTCTATATGAAAGATGTTTAGGGAACTATATTTTAAGCCTTCCACCACTGACTGTCTTATGCAACTTTCCACACTCCTTATTGGATATTGTTCTTCCTGAGGAAGTTTGCTTTCCCTCTTTAAAATAGAGCCTGTGAAATTTTAAACTGTACTTTTGCATCCAATTGCTTGAACCATTTAAGTAGAGTTGACTGATTTCAGAAGCAGTGCTGTTAAAAATGGTGGGTAATTTGTTAAAAAAGGAAAACAAAACAGGGAGAAAAAACACAGGGTGAGACTGGGAAGAGAAATACCGGATATTGAGACCCCTGTGATGGCTTTAAAGCGTTGGGTTAATTATTCCTTCCCGGAAGTTAATGATGAGAGCTATTGGCTCAAACGTGTGAGTGAGTGAGGACAAGGAACACAAATAAACCTAACAGTAATTTATCTTACAAGTGTAAGAAAATGCTGTCTCCTTAGAATGTGTGTATTTCTTATTAAGGATTGGTAAGTAACCTTTAGAAACTGACTGTGCCAAATTAGCATTAGAAATTGGTAGTGTGGGTCAGGTGGGGTGGCTTACGCCTGTAATCCCAGCACTTTGGTTGGCTGAGGCGGGAGGATTACCTGTGTTTAGGAGTTTGAGACCAGCCTGTCCAACATGGTGAAACCCCGTCTCTACTAAAAACTACAAAAATTAGCTGGGCGTGGTGGTGGGTCCCTGTAATCTCAGCTACCTGGGAGACTGAGGCAGGAGAGTCGCTGGAACCTGGGAGGCGGAGGTTTCAGTGAGCCGAGATCACGCCATTGCACTCCAGCATGGGTGACAGAGTGAAACTCCGTCTTAAAAAAACAAAAAGAAAAAGAAATTGATAGTGTGGGCTGGTTATGGTGGCTCAGGCCTGTAATCCTAGCACTTTGGGAGGCTGAAGAAGGCCAGTCACATGAAGTCAGGAGTTCAAGAGCAGCCTGGCCAACATGCTGAAATTCCGTCTCTACTAAAAATACAAAATAAAATAAAATAAAAAAAAATTAGCTGGGCGTGGTTGCACATACCTGTAATCCCAACTACTTGGTAGGCTGAGGTAGGAGAATCACTTGAACCCAGGAGTCAGAGGTTGCAGTGAGTGGAGATCATGCCATTGCACTCCAGCCTGTGTGACGAGAGTGAAACTTCGTCTGAAAAAAAAAAAAAAAAAAAAAGAAGAAGAAAGAAATTGATAGTGTGCTGCAGCACATTCTTGATTAATACTAAAAGCATATATTTTCTAAATAAACACTTCCCTTAATTTTTATTAAATATAAGCACAAATTTTCTCCATTTCCACACTGTTTAGTTTACTGTGTTAAACATTTGCCCACCATTTTTTTAAAGGATGTAGAATATACAAAAAACTCTTCATAGCTTGAAATGTGCATAGGAGATAGATGAGTTTAGGTACTGCAGGACGAAAAGACTTGATGTGTTTTATGCCATGCTTATTTATTCCAACTATAAAAACAGAAATGATCCACAAAGTAGTTTGATGGATAATGACTGAAGTTGTAAAAGTTATTGTGACTAATGGTATTTACCCTGTTTGGTTAATTGAAAATCAAGGTGAAATTACCCTCTAGATAGATCTTATATTTTATAACGTTTGTAAAATCATAAAAAGGTTATGTCATCCTCAATTCTCAAAAAAATTATATTGTTTTTGAGACTGTCAGAACATATTTTCCAACAGTATTACACAAACGGGCAAACAATCTGATATGATGACCTAATCGTTTTTATGTTTGGCCATTACAAGTGTTGGCAGTTCCCTGGCTTCTGTTTGGAAGTAGTGTGTCAGTTGCATCTTATAATATGTTTGCCTTTGGTGAGGCATCAGAAAACATGTCACATATTGGAGATTTATGTACTATAAAATGTCTCAGGAGCTTAACTTCACCATTAGGGTTACTCTTGTATAAACTTTGATAAAAGTAATATCTTTGCTCCCTCCCAAGATAAATGAAAGAATTTAAGCCCACTTCGAGAATTCTAAACTTTTGTGGTCAGTCTTCTTTTGTCCTCCAAGTTTGTAATTAATAAGGTTTAAACAAAGCTTCAATCTGGTGGATAGTCTGAGCTTTTGACTTAATCGATCAGTTTGAAAATTATTAGCTAATTCCTTTACTCTACTTCTACCCCAACCCAGGATTTAGCTGTCTATCTGAGTAACGTATTTGCCTGGTTTTATGTATTAGCATACTCTCAGTTGAAAAAGCAAATCCGAATATTCACATTGATAAAGCACTTGCACAATAAAAGGGGCCATAAAAGTATTTATCATGCTTCTGAGATGTATTAGTCAATAAAATGAGTTATTCATTGAAATTTAATAGGGTGCAATCTCAGATGGAGTGCAAGCTCCGATTGAAAAATTGAGACATTTTCTTGCTGGAGGGAAGGATACATGCACGTCTAGCACTATGCAAGTTGTAAGGATGCTGGAAAGCAGGCAACTGGATGGAATCCTGAATCACATCTCACACAGCTGCTGCTGCTTCACTTTCTCTAAGAGCAGGGCTATGCTGATTAAGCCATAAGCATTTGCAAAGATTTTTTTATTTTCTTTTATTATTTTCTGGCCATCTGTAAATCAAAGAAGAACAGGAATAGGTGGCTTTCTTCCTTCAGCAACAGATCACCAATCCTCCTCTCTCACATAAAATTTTGCCCTGATCAAACTATTTTCTATTCCTCAATCAAATTCTGCAGTTTCTTTGTTTCTTCTACCTAAAGTGATTTTTATCAAATATTCATGTATCAAAAGGCATCAGTAACCATTTTTTCATTTAAACCTTTACTTATCACTTTAATTTAACTTGTTCTTATATATTTATAAATTCTTAGAATGCTCTGCCTATATTAATGGAATTTTTCAATGTAACCTTGCTAACTTATTGTAGTCATTTAAAAGATACATCTCTAAATTCTTTGATACTCCTCATTGCAAAATACACAGCTTAATTCATCTCCTTTTGAGTGAGGACTAGACTTAGTTATTCTTTTCTATTGAATAGCATATGGCAGAAGTAATAAGATTTCACTTGCAAGATTAGGTTATAAAAATCTGAGGTTTCCTTCCAGAATTTTATTTCTTTCTTGCTCTTCTCACTCTCTTTTTCTTCCTCTCTTCCCTGAATTACTCACTCTGGGGAAGCCAATATTGTTGCTGCTCAGGCAACCTTTGGAGAGGCCCACATCGTGAGGAACTGAAACCCACCAATATCAGTTATCTTGGAAATGAATGATATTCATATTCACTTCTCCCCATTGAACCTTGAGATAATAACTATAGCTCCGGCCAGTATGTGGCTGAAACTTTGTGAGTGATCCCAAGACAGAACTACCCAGCTAAGACACCTAGATTCCTGATCCTCAGACACTGTGAGATAATAAATGTTTATTGTTTTGTGCTATTGAGTTTGCAGTAATTGGCTTTGCAGCAATAGACAGCTAATACACTTGTATATCTTTACTTTCTCTTTTACTAGATTATGAACTTTATGAAGAAAAGGATACATACTATTGATGTTCTATTTTCAGTCTAGATAATACATGCCTGCAGATGTAAAAAATATAATCTCAAAAGATTAAGCCAACAAAAGTTTATTTGTACTAATATAAAGTCTAATATGGGTAAGGAGATGTAATAAAAATAAACAAATACATATATAATTTTTGATGGTAATTAATTATCTGAAAAATATAAAACATCTGTAGTAACTTAACAGAGTTACTGAGAAAGGGAAGGTAGAAGGTACATTTGGACAGAGTGGTGAAAAAGTCCCTACTACTAGAAGTTTAGATTGGAGCTGAAACCTGAACATGACCAACTGGCTCTGCAAATATTAGGGGAAGAGCATTCTGGACTGAAGAGCAAATGCCCCAGGTAAGGACTTTTTCTAGCTTGCTGACAGGAAACAAAGTCAGCTGGTGGGCAGGAACCTGTTAAGGGAGTATTTTGTAGGTAATAATGAAGAAGTTGGAATTTATCAAAAAGTTTCATTGGAACTTGCATTTGCTGTAAGTCAATACTCCAGAGAAGACCATGGTCAGCTGTGAGTTATTATCATCTGACACAACAGCTGGGCCATGAGTGCCCCAGCTGGAAAAGGACCTCAAAGTGGATCACCAAGAGCATCTATGACAATCACATTGGCCACTGAATGAGAATTAATGTGGTGGTGGTAGTGTGATCGGGCAAGTGAAGAGTAGGACAACCAATTAGTAGGCTGCTGTAATACCACAAAAAAGGGGAAATCATTCATTAAACTGGCATTAGATGTAGAAAAGAGGAGTTGATTGATAAAAAAAAGATTTAGGATGTATTTTGGAAGAAGAATCATGAGATGAGATATTTGGATTGACATCTCCTTCCAGAATACATCCTAAATCTCTTTTCTTTCAACTCTTTTCTACATCCAGCCCCAGTTTAATGGAAAGTGGATAATGAAACATTATCCCCTTCACCATCTTTTTTTTTTTTTTTTTTTTTTTGGTTTGGTCTGTATTACTGGATAGTGCTCTTTACAGAAAAAAAATTTAGGGAGATACAAAAAATACCATATCTTCCCAATATCTCTCAAGATAATTCTGTGTTTAGAAAGACACTTCAGTGTTGTATATCACTTGAAGAGAACAGGGTAGAAAGGGTTTCAAGGGGAGGAAGGAAAAGTGGAGAAGGGAGCTAGAGGTCAGCAAGGGAAGGAGTAATTAAAAAGACAATAAGGTAAAGAACAATACAAAAGGAAAGGAAAATGAAATAAAATATGTAAGGCATTAAAGGAAAAAAGAAAACAAAGTCCAAGGGTAATCAGTGTAAACTGGTTAAAAAAGAAAAGTGAAAATGAAAGCAATGAAAGGAATAGAATTACATGTCTCTGAGACCCTTCAGGGGTCTGTAAGGTCCCATTCCATGTCTGTGTGAGATCAGAATTTCTTCGTATAGTTCAACCAAATAACATATTGCAACAGACCGAATGTAGAAGTAGGTATGAAAATCTAGCTATTTTCTAATAAGTGAGGCAATGCAGAGATTTACAAAAATGAAAAATGATGCTACTCTTATCATTAATATTCTAAACAATATAGTTATTTTAATAAAACACATTATATTGATTTTAACATGTAATGAGTTTATGTTATGTATAAGAATATTTTAAAACTGAATTCAATATATTTTCTAATAAGGAATATATATATTTATATATCTCCTACAGAAATAAAAGCTCTTTGGGATCTAGTTTTTAAGGGAAAAAGTGGTTCTATGACCAAAACATTTGAGGATTATTGCTGTGAAAGTCACCGAGATTTTGTGGCAAATGTTAATTAATATACTCTTCTACCAAGCTCCTCTTCATCTGGAAAAACAATGTGTTATCACCTGGTTATTTAGTAATCATAACTCAGAGATTTTACTCTGAAAAGAATAGCCAAAATTGCCAGACAAGATGTAAAATAAGTATATGTCATTTAATGACAGGAATATGCTCTGAGAAATGTGTCATTATATGATTTAGTCATTGCAGAACATCACAGCATGTACTTACACAAAGTAGATGGTACAACCTAGTACACACCCAGCCTATATGGTGTAGCCTATTGTTCCTAGGCTATAAAACTGTACAGCATGTTACTGTACTGAATTTTATGGCCAATTTAACTCAATGGTAAGAAATTGTGTACAATTATGTGCAATTATGTACAGACATTAAAAAGTTACAGTAAAAATACAGTATTAAAGTCTTTTAACATATTACACTTGTGTAGGGTACTTACGATGAGTAAAGAAAGCTTGCAGTCCTAGAAGTTACTCTAGTGAGTCATTGAGTGATTGAGTGGTAAGTGAATGTGAAGGTCCAGGGCATTAATGTACACTTTGTAGACTTTATAAATATTGCAAACTTTGGCTACACTAAATTTATAAAGAAATTTCTTTCTTCAATTATATATTAATCTTAATGTACTGTAACTTTCTTTCTTTATAAACTTCATAAAATTTTAACTTTTTGACTCTTGTAATAACACTTAGTTTAAAACCAAAGCACATTGCACAGCTGTACTAAAATATTTTCTTTCTTTCTATCCAAAAGAAGGTAGAAGAATTTGGAAGAACCCTTGGAAGTAGATGCTGTGATAATTAAATGTAAATATCAATATTAGATATAACAAATTATTTTTAAAAATCAACAAAAACGCCTTCCAATCAGTGTTTAAAAACAGTTACTATAAATCTGAAGAAAAATCTTTTCCCATATATCAGGTACTGTAATAAATTTTGGCAAAAAAAATTCTGATGAATGTAAAAGGGAATATTAGTCATGTAGTCATTGTCACCATGATCCCTGATAAGTGAAGACATGCAAACCATAAATGTACACATACAGAGACACCAGAATGTCATTAATTTGGATTTGCAAAAGCAGGCACCTTCTTATTCTACTGTACTAATGAAAGGGTTAGCTTCTATCTAGTGCAGATGTGTGCTGTGAGTGCACAATTAACTTCTACTAAGATCCATATTCATGGATTGTTTTCCGTTTTAAATACTGTTTGTCAGATGATGCTTTTTGTATACAATTTTAAGCCATGAGAACTGATTCTTTTCGGGGGAAAGGGTAAAAATCATTTAGAAATTAGATTTAGATTTTATTTTTACAAAAATTTCTTAGACATTTTAAAGTTTTAACATATTCAGATAATTTTGATTTACAACTTTTAAGCTTTGGACAAAAAAACTCATTAAAGTGGCAAATAAATTATAGGAAGCAAATTCAATTAGACAAATTCAAATAACATAAATAGTTACTCAATGTAAAGTCAGGTACACAAATATTTATGACAATATTTAATAAAAATTTACTAGGTATAGATCTTTTAACCTATCTAAGGATAATTTATAGTAAATAATATCTTATTACAATAAAATGTTTTTAAATATGTTAAATTTCTTCTGGATATCTTCTCTTCTCTATTAGTATGCATAGCTTATTCTTTTTTCCCTCTTTAATTTCAGATCTCATTCTATTTAAATCATCCTAAATTTTCAGTTATTGAAAAATTGCATTGCAAAGGTTTTACTGAATTGCTGGGGGATATTAGTCCACTTTAACTTTGAAATTAAATTATAAACTGTTTTGTTACATAATAAAGACAGCTTACAGAATTTGGACAGTGATTAAAGTAATTTTAAAATATGTATTCAGTAGTCATCTCATTAATTTCCAACTCTGAAGTGTAGCTAAATACCACTGTCCTTCTCTCTCTCTCTCCCCCCACCACCCAGGCGCACACAGACACACGTGTGTGCCAAATATGGAAATGTGAAGATAGAGGTTCAGCTAGGTTAGGTAACTTTGCTAAAATCACACAACTAATCTTACTTTGAACTCTGCTTTACAGTGAACAAATTAAATTTTTTATTGCTTTGAGAAATTGAGCTGAGTACAGTGGCTCAAACCTGTAATCCCAGCACTTTAGGAGGCCGAGGCAGGTGGATCATGAGGTCAGGAGTTCGAGACCAGCCTGGCCAACATGGTGAAATCCCATCTCTACTAAAAATACAAAAATTAGCTGGGCATGATGGTGCACGCCTGTAATCCCAGCTACTCGGGAGGCTGAGGCAGAAGAATTGCTTGAACCCAAGAGGCAGAGGTTGCAGTGAATCGAGATCAAGCAACTGCAAGACAGCTTGGGCTGTTGACAGAGTAAGACTCTGTCTCAAAAAGAAAAAAAAAAGAGAGAAATTGAATGAGAAAATAATAATTTTAGAGAGACTCTAAGACTTAGCTATAGCAGCTATGTGTTCCAAAAAAAAAAAAAATTCCCTGAACCCCTCTGAATTCTAGCTTTCTCACTGCAAAGCAGGTTAATATTATCTACTTTACAAATATGTGAGGATTATATTCCAAAAGCTCCTTCTTACCCAGGTATATTTTTCCCTGTGCTTTTCACAAGGATTAGGGCATATAATGAAAAGTCAGGAGGGGAAAGACACTCATTTGACATGCACTAGTGTGAAGGGAACTACTAATTATAGATCTGGCTGCAGAAACTCAACTGGATAGTAAAAACAAATGTTGTCTCTCCCAGCAGTGATCAATTAGGGCTTTGTGACAAAGAAAAGGGATACCATGCTTCTAGAATCTAGATAGACAACTATATTTGTTTTCTATTGCTGTATAGCAAATTTTCATAAATTTAGTAACTTAGTAGTCATGTATTACCTCAGGATTTTTTTTTTTCCCCTGAAGTTTGACCACACCTTAACTGGTTCCTCTGTTCTGTGTCTCACAAGGCTGACATCAAGGTGTCAGCTGCGAGACTGCAATCTTATCTGAAGTTAAAAATCTCCTTTCAGCTCCTTGGTTGTTGCTACAATTCATTTCCTTGTAGTAGCAGGATAGAAGCTCTTGATTTCTAGAACTTATCCACTATTCCCTGCCACATGACCCTCTCCACATGGCAATTTGATATTCAAAGGCCAAGGAAAGCAAATCTACTACTGCTTCTTCTCTTTTACCTCTAGATCCTTTTTTAAAAGGCTCATGTCATTATGTCAGACCCACCTAGGATAATCTTTCTTTTGATTAACACAAATACAACTCAATAGAAACCTTAATTATATTTGCAAAATCCATTCATCTTTGCATTATAAAGTAACCTAATCTCGGCTGGGCGCGGTGGGTCATGCCTGTAATCCCAGCACTTTGGGAGGCCAAGACGGGCGGATCACGAGGTCAGGAGATCGAGACCATCATGGCTAACACGGTGAAACCCCGTCTCTACTAAAAACACAAAAAAATTAGCTGGGCGTGATGGCGGGCACCTGTAGTCCCAGCTACTCGGGAGTCTGAGGCAGGAGAATGGCGTGAACCCGGGAGGCGGAGCTTGCAGTGAGCGGAGATCATGCCAGGGCACTCCAGCCTGGGCGACAGAGCGAGACTCTGTCTCAAAAAAAAAAGTAACCTAATCTCAGGAGTAATCTCATCATATCCATAGATCTTATCTGCAATTTAAGGGGAGAGGTTAAAAATTGGGGTCATGTTACAATTTCATCATTGTAGGCATTGGAGTTGTCTTCTCATTATCCATTTCACTTCTCTCACTTACATATCAGTCATGCAGTTCGGCTATAATACCTTGTCTCCTGGAGTGAGTCCTGATTAGAAAAAGCAAGTGACTTTCAAATGTTTTTAACTTGGCAACCCACAATGATAAATACATGCAAAAATACATGTTGCATTACAATCTAATGCAGATACACACACATCTATATAACTGAAAAACACTTAGCTTTGCTATGTGCAATTCACTCTATTCTGTTCTATTCTATTCTGGTCTACTTTAGTCTACTCCATTCCATTCCATAAGTAAACAAATGCTAGTTACACTTCAACAAATTGTTATAAAAAACCCATCAGTGCGTCACCCTAGAAGCTGAAAAACACTGGAGTAAGCCATTCATTGTGAGTCTATTATCTGGCCAGTGACTATTTTAAGAAAGCTGAGCATTTTATCCCCCAAACAAAGGCGGAATAAAAATTCAGAGGTAATGAGTCCTCCAGTGGGAAATTACTCGGTAAATTTGAGCAGGTAAAAGCAAATACCTTAACCAGAATCTAGAATAAATGAGAATGCATGTAAAAACATATGCAAATATAATGGAAGACATTTTATAAATTATTATTTTGTTATCCCACCATGGCTGCCCTGGATTTTTAGTAAACCTTAGCAGAGTTGATGGTGTCCCTACTCATTCTATATACTCATCTCAAGTGAGTAAAGCAAGATTGTGTCTGAAGCCTTGTCTAGCTTCATTTATTTTATGCTGCCATGCTTAGGAATATAATGGGAGACTTAGAAGCCAAGTCGGTGTCAGAATTGTATGTGCACAGCGGCAGTACCTGTTGTCTGAAATTCTGATTCAGAGGATCAGGTTTGTGTGCCAGGTGAAGATTAATTGTACAAATGTCAATCTTCTTGGGGGTTCATTAAATTATGATACTTAATTAACATCAATGTCAGTGAAAGAAAAAATACCCAAAGCTTCCCTAAAAGCTGTTCATATTCAAATATATGTTGATTGATGGAAGCCTATTGTTTCCCAGTGCCTAGTAATATTCTTCACTGCATATATTACCTGGAGACTTCCCCAAACACTGAGATATTTGGAACTCTAATGAAAAAATAGCTTCTATTGTCAGATGGAAAGTGCAATTTTATGAGCAGACCTAGTGCCTCTCTTCATCCATCCATTGAGTGTGTATCTACAACTTGATTGATTTCGACATATTCTTTACCAGCCAGTTATTGATTACAGAATCCCATGAGTAAAAATAAGAACCTATTTGTTGGTTGGAATATCATAACATGTTAGCAAGACATGGTTTCAATTTATGAAGTATAATATTGACTTCATTTCTAGGTAATATAAAATAATAATAAAATGCAATTATGTGATTTATTTATTTAAATAGTCTCATCCAGTATAATTTAGAGTAACTTTGTAAAGTACTTAGCAAGGGATTACTAAATAGTGAAAACGATTAGGTCAGGTATAGTGTTAGACGTTACAGAAATCATGCTGCTGTCAAGTAAGGATGTTAATGGAAACATGAATCTAGTCTCATCTTTCTTGAGACTTATTATTGGTTACATAAAATGCATTAATTCTATGATATTTGTAAATAAAGGAATGACTCTAAATTATTTTGCAGGATAGGAAGAAACATGAAGCGATGAAACATACTGAACAATTCCATGTTTATGGTGAATATCCATGATTATTTCAATGTATATTTGTGTGACTTGAGGTGGGTAGGCTTTAGGAATTATGATCCTGTAGCAGAATAGGTAGATAGCAGGGTAAAGACAGAAGACAAGCTAAACAAAAATCAAATGTATTCATTAGGAATCACAAAATATACAGCATGTTTTTATTTAGCATATAAATACATTGTTTATCAAGACCAGCATACGGCAAAAATGAATTATTGCTTTTCTTCTAACCGTAAATGACTTAAAAGTCATCAAGAATAATGCACTAGAGAATAGGCCTAGAAATAGAAAACAGAAATAGAGAAAATCATAAGCAAGAGATCCTACAAACCAGCAATCTAAGTCCTAATGAGAAAGAAAAACTATAAGAATAGATTGAAATAAAAGCTACAGTTGTAATATGTTAACCTCCAAACAAAATGTAATTAAGTGTAGACGCAAGAACCAGTTCCATAAATAGCTATTCATAATCATATACAATTGCCATGCCATTATTTTCTATTAGAAAAATATGAGAATAAAATACAATATTAAATGTCTGATAGAATTGAGTTCCTAATTAAGTCTTCAACTGAATTAAGTCAGCATCTTCCTTTCACTTTTTCTTTATGTCTTGTGTATAGGCTGTTAAAGATGCTTGGCATAATTATGATCAAAATAGATGTATTTTTGCCTGTTCTGAACAACAAGAAGTTTGGCAGGAAATTAAGAACCTAAACCACAGCCAAATTGCTGAATCCTTGAATTGTTTAAGGATTCAAGCAAGAAAAACCTATGGCCTAAACTGGAAAAAAAAAAAAGTGCATTTGTGACCTCTTCTCTCTCCAGCACTTAGTTTAAAACAACAAATTCCTGCCACATAAAAAATAATCTATTTACTGGCATAATTTTAAGCAGTTTAGCCTGCTGAATATGTATTGTAGGATTCTTATTAACATTCTTTATGTTCCTAAATTTTAAATAAATTATTAAATCCTTCACCATTTGTAAAGAGTGACTCTTTCCCTCCAAACTGGTCACATTTCATTGGATCATCACACTTTGGCCTTCCTTAATAAGCATGAAATCTCTATACTGCAGTTTCTAAAAAGTCTCAGTTTCATGACTGAGGGAACACATAATGGGATATGAAGCCTTTTGCCTCTAAGTTTTACATGTAAATTCAGTGTCTATTGTCAGTGACCAAGTATTATGATATCTCATGAGGATTCTAGAACTGACACAAAATATTTAGTTGCCTCAATTTAATTTTTAGGAAGATGTTATTTTTATTACTTTAAATTAAAACCATAATTGATTGAAAGCTTCAACTGGGTCTACAGTTAAATGAGTCAAGGAATAAGTTTTGCTCAGAGTCTTTATTGTTTATGGAAATTCTAGCTCATTTGGGAAGCTTATGCTCCCTTCAACAGTTTCTAAGAATTGTAGGAAAAATAAAAATATATCAGAACTGAAAGTTTTCAAATGAGATATTACAATTATAAAAAAGTTAGAAATTGTTTAAGCTATACACTTTTGAAGAAAGTTATGATTTGCCTGTACTTGGGACTTCTGGTTCTGATCATAATGAAGTAGCTGATATTCTTATGATAGGAGCCTTATCATCCTATCAACAACTATAAATATTAAAATTTTACATGAAGTAACTTTTTCAAGCATTAGCAAAAACAGAGGGTAATATTACTTCAGAGAAGGTGAAAACATGCTTATGAGATATTGTCCTGTGTTAAGTATTCAAAAGCCCAGCATCTAAAAATATTTTTCTTAATTTAGATTTTTTTTTAATTTTTATTTTAAGTTCAGGGGCACATGTGCAGCTTTGTTGCATAGGTGAACTTGTGTCATGGCGATTTGTTTTACAGAATTTTTCATCATTCAGGTATTAGCTGGAGGCCATTATCATTAACAAACTAACACAATAACAGAAAACCAAATACTGCATGTTCTCGCTTATAAGCGGGAGCTTAATGACAACATTTATATATTTTAGCTTAGAAACATTCTCAAATCATTCCAGAAATGTAAACTCACTTTTGATAACTACATTTATAAAATTTTTATTGTTTAATGACAACTTTAATTATTGAATTGCAAATACAATTATATTTTTCCTCAGTAGAGAAATATTAAGAGCAAAATGAAAAATAATTATACAAAAATAAGGGAAGTAGGACTTTGCAATGTTTAGAGGCAAAATTTTTCTCAGCTTTTTTTTTTTTTTTTTTTTTAGCTTGGTAAACCAACTTCTCATCTGATAGTATTACTTCTCATTGCCTCAGCAAAACTATTTTTGAATCTACAAAGCCTTTGCCACCATCCTATTCAGGGAAATCTATCACAGTTTTGCAAATCACTCAAATTTTGCAGAAAATTATAATGCTGAAAATGATCACACAAGGCTTCATTTTAGCTTCAGCCTAGTTCTGTTCTTGGATATCAGAATATATTGCAGGTGCTTAATCCTAAAATGACTCTACACAATTTGCTTCTTTCTATCAATGAAATGGTAGTTTCCTTTTAAAAATAATCAATCTCATATCAATCATATGATTATATTTTATATACTCTTTACTGTTATATTAAAACATTCATTTAATTATTTAAAAAGTTGATATATATGGTACTAATATAATATTTTAATAGTAAAATATTACATTATGAGGATACACTAATTCTAAATCTATCTGCCTTAAGAGTAACAATATTATCACAATTTGCTAGAAGGTAATGTAAGGTAAGCAGTTTGAAAGTAAGGAAAAAATTTATTGAATGAAGTTAGAAATTGATCCATAAAAGATAAATGATTGACTTGGAAAATAAGGCACATTTTGTGCAGGTAACAGCTAATATTATTGTCCATGGCTTTACATATAATTCTGGAATTGTCATAGAAAGAAAGTCACTTTTTGGCCACTAACTACTTGCTTCTATCAAAACTTGAAACTTGTTTTAAAGATATCATTTATCATGTACTTTTAAATTGCTTTTCAGCAATGTAAATTTTAAAATATTCTAAAAAATAGTTCTTCAAATACAAGTCTAAAATATTCCAAAAACTTTATAAAACTGCATACAAATGAGGAAATGGTCCTAGTAGGGCACTGAGGTAAAATTAACAATTAGAAGTTAACATGTGAGGTACTAAAAGTTACTGAAAATAGATTTGTGTTGTGTGGATTATTTGACTCCTAAAATATTAATGTCATGATTACCATAAAAGTTCTAGACAAACTGCACGTAAAATTTATAAATCACCAACTAATTAATTTTTGCTATAATTATACATATTCTTATATAGATTCCCACTTATCTACCACAAACAGATTTCTGTTTTTATAATCCAGAGAGAAAACTTTGCTAAAATTCTCATATGAGATAGGCATAAAGTAAAGCAAATGTGGGAAAGCTTTGGTTCTTCCTTCTTTTTGCTTTGGCTGACATGAAAAACTTAATGCTGAGAGAGTTGTACTCTTCTGAAAACAGTAAAAAGCAAAAAATTTCTGGTTATTTTCCAATGACTCCTGCTGCTAAGTTGGTATCACTAGAAACAGACCTATTTTGATGCTCATGCCTGTAGTGATTCTTGCATATTTAGTTCTTAATTATTTGGATTAACTGTAAGAGGTCAAATGCATTTGAGCTATAGTTTTTCACAATTGTATAGTTTCCAAAATATTCTCCTCTGCTCATAAGATATATTCTCAATGGTCAAATCTTTTGCAGGAAAAAAATTCTGGTAATGAACTTACTTCACACCAAAGAGACAAGGTAAGCCTTGAAAATAAGTTCTTGGATCATCTGGGAAAATAGAAAATGTCTAATATTTTAAAGGATAATATCAGTATAGTGTTAAACAAACCTAGTACTCATTTATCCTAGTTGTGAGCCTTTGTGCTAGTTTTGTCATAGCCCCAATTATTAGATTTATCAACTTTTAAATGAATTTTTTTTAATTTTTCAAGGTATTAATTGCTTCCAAGAAACAAACAAACAACATGCAAAGAAAAAAAAAAAAGAAACTATGGTGATGATGGAATATTAACATTTTTATTATTAAATATTTGTTCTTAAAATATTTAATGTATTAAAATATATGTCATAATAACCAAAGATGAATCAAGCAATAGGTCTCAGGGTATCCTGAAACAAAGACTTAGAAAGACATCAATCAAAAATGAACCAAGGATATTCTCTGTGATACCTAGGGATACATGGTCTCACATCTTCACTTCTCTTTTAAATTGTCTTTTTATTTGTTCTCTCTGCAGATTGTTTTTCTGTGCTCACTTGCATGAGGCAGATTTTTATCAAACAAATTCTGATATTAGTAGCATAGTACATTTAATAATCTGCTAAATAATCTTACACTTACTTATTAGGTTACTGTTCATATTTATGTTGATAATACAATTTCAAATAATTGTATAAATATAGGATAAAGCAAACAAGTAATTATATGAATATTGTTAGGAATTAAAGTTTAAATGTAATAGAAAAGATATACAAATATAAGTTCAAGAAAATTTACTAACAACTTGTAATAACTAATTTAATTTGGATACTTTCATATGAACTCATAATATTTATAAAATATGTCAAAGAGTAACTACACTCCCATGTTAATTATGAAATTGTTTACCAACAGCCAAGATATGGAATTAACATTAGTGTCCATCAGTCAATGAATGTAAAAAGAAAGTATGGTATACATTTCTATATGTATACACATGAACACAAAAATGGCACACTATTTAGCCTTAAAAAAGAAAATCCTGCAATTTGCAACAGCATGGATAAACATGAGGAACATTATGCTAAGTGAAATAAGCTAGGATAGTAATGTATGGCTTCACTTATATATGGAATCTAAAAACTTTGAACTCATAGAAGAGAGAGTGTCATGGTGGTTACCAGGGATTGGGAGAAGGTGGAAGATTGGGATGAAAGATATTGGTCAAAGGATACAAGATTTTAGTTAAACAGGAGAATCAATATCATTCAAAAGGCTGTATTGCCCAAAGGAATTTATAGATTCAGTGTTATTTCTATTACGCTACCACTGACATTCTTCACAGAACTAGAAAAACTATTTTAAAATTCATATGGGACAAAAAAAGATCCTGAAGAACCAAAGCAATCCTATGTAAAAGGAATAATGCTGGAGGCATCACACTACTCAACTTCAAACTATACTACAGGACTGCAGTAACCAAAACAACATAGTACTGGTACAAAAACAGACACATAGACCAATGAAACAGAATAGAGAACCCAGAAATAAGACCACACACCTACAACTATCTGATCTTCAACAAACCTGACAAGAACGAACAATGGGGAAAGAATTCCCTATTCAATAATTGGTGCTGGAATAACCGGCTAGTCATATGCAGAAGATTGAAACTGGATCCCTTCCTTACACCATATACAAAAATTAACTCAAGATGGATTGAAGACTTAAATGTAAAACCACAAACTATGAAAACTCTGGAAAGCAATACCTTTAAGGACATAGGCACAGGCAAAAGATTCATGAGGAAAATGCCAAAAACAATTTCAACAAAAGCAAAAATTGACAAATGTGATCTAATTAAACTAAAGAGCTTCTGCAAAACAAAAGAAAGTATCAACCTAGCAAACAGACAGCCTATAAAATGGGAGAAAATTTTTGCAAACTATGCATCTGACAAAGGTCTGACATTCAGCATCTACAAGGAACTCAAATTTACAAGAAAAAAAAAAAAACCAAAATGTGGACAAAGGACATGAACAGACATTTTTCAAAAGAAGATATACATATAGCCAACTCATATGAAAAAATGCTCAATATCACTGATTATTAGAGAAAGGCAAACCAGAGCCACAATTGGATACCATTTCACAACAGTCAGAATGGCTACCATTAAGAAGTAAAAAGAAAAAATAAACAGATGCTGGCGAGGTTGTGGAGGAAAATAAAAACACTTATACAATGTTGGTGGGAGTGTAAATTAGTTCAACCATTGTGGAAGACAGTGTGGTGATTTCCCAAAGACCTAAAGGCAGAAATACTATTTGACTCAACAATTATATCACTGGGTATATATCTAAAGGAATATAAATAATTCTATTATACTATAAAGACACATGCACATGTATGTTCATTGCAGCAATATTCACAAAAGCAAATAAATGGAATCAACCTAAATGCCCATCAAGGATAGACTGAATAAAGAAAATATGGTACATATACACCAAGGAACACTATGCAACCATAAAAAAGAATGAGATCATGTCTTTTGCAGGGACATGGATGGAGCTGGATTCTGTTATCCCTAGCAAACAAACATAGGAACAGAAAACCAAATACTGCATGTCTTCACTTACAAGTGGTAGCTAAATGATGAGAACACATGGACACATAGAAGGGAACAACACACACTGAGGCCTATTAGAGGGTGGAGGGTGGGAGGAGGGAGAAGATCAGGAAAAATCACTAATGGTTAGTAGGCTTAATACCTGGGTGATAAAATAATCTCTAAAACTCATCTCCATGACAAGTTTACCTATGTAACAAACCTGCACATGTACCCCTGAACTTAAAAGTCAAAAAAAAAAAAAAAAGAATCAAGTGAATAAAAGAAGGACAGAATGGAGGGAGAGAGAGAGAAGGAAAGGATGAAGAAATAAAAAGTCACAAGCGCTTCAGGAACCTCAGGTGGAAGGACTGCTTGAGTTCAGGCGTTCAATGCTGCAGTGAGCTGTGATCTGCACTCTAGCCTGTGCAATAGAGTGAGACCCTGTCCCTCAAAGAATAAGAAAAAGAAAGCCATGATTTTCTACAAAAAAAAAAAAGGCAAGAATAATAAAACCAAATTAATATAACAAGTATTCTATCTTCAAAAGTAGTTACAACACCAATTTCTTACTCTAAAAATTGATAATTAAATGGAAACCAGACATTTACTTTGTGTAATGAGGAGATACAGTGAATCCCAAGTGGTGAGGAAAATATTTTTACAGAACAACATAAGGTAATAAATTTTTTAAAAAATTAACATTTTTCAACTGTTAATGAAATGATTGACTCAGGCAAAAATTATCATTCACCTAAAATTGAAGGGGAATTATTTTGGAGAGGAGGATTCATGTGATCATAAAATGTCACTTCCAGATTATTTGCAATTCGAAAAACATTTTTTAAAAATAATGGAAAACATTTGGTGGTCACTGCCTTAATGAAGTAATCAAATTTATCATCACTAATGGGGAAAGTTAACAATATCTGCTTTCTGCAGAATTCAATAAAAAGTATATTTCCTAAGAAGTATAGTGTGTTCCGCTACAACACACACCTTTATGAGGCTAATTAGCTTATACTGATTGGGAAAATTGGAAAATAATACCAGTAAAACATAGATGGTGTGCTGATTCAAATATTATTGTTCCTAGCAGGAGTAGCATCATTACCTCAAGCAATATTGCCAGAGAAAATCTTGACACAGAGAAGACAAGCTCAGTGCTTAATGTGAAAATTTATCTGCACATACAGAACCAGTCCATAATACAGGTAGGTGTATTCAGAGAAGGGCTGGGGGATACAAATGGTACACCATCAAAATTTGCTGTGATCGTTTGAGAAGTGTCTGTTCATGTCTTTTGCCCACTTTTTAGTGAGGTTATTGGTTTTTTGCTTGTTGAATTGTTTAAGTTTCTAAACACATGAAAAAAATGCTCAGCATCACTAATCATCAGAGAAATGCAAATAAAAGCCAAAGTGAGATAACATCTCACACCACTGAGAGTGATTATTATTAAAAAGTCAAAAAACAACAGGTGCTGGTGAGGCTACAGAGGAAAGGGAATGCTTATATACTGTTAATGGGAATGTAATTTAGTTTAGCACCTGTGGAAATCAGTTTGGAGATTTCTCAAAGAACATAAAAGAGAAATATCATTCTACCCAGCAATTCCATTACTGGTTATATATACAAAAGAAAATAAATTCTTATCAAAAGGACACATGTACTTGTGTGTTTATCTCAGCACTGTTCACCATGGTGAAGACATGGAATCAACCAAGGTGATTATCAAAAGGGAAGAGGAATGGATTAAAAAATATATGGTAGATATAGACCATGGAATCCTATGCTGCCGTAAAAGAGAACAAAATCATGTCCTTTGAGGCAACAGCATGGATGCAGCTGGAAGCCGTTATCCTAAGTGAATTAACAGAGGAACAGTAAACCAAACACCACACGGTCTTACTTAAAAGTGGGAGCTAAACATTGGGTACTCATGGACATAAAGATGCCTCAATAGATTACGAGGACAAACAGGATTAAAAAACATGCGTACTATCCTCACCATGTGGGACACAGGATCATTTTTACCCCAAACCTCAACATCATGCAATATACCCATGTAACAAGCCTGTACATGTACCTCCTGAATCTACAAAAAAAATGACTTTTTTTTTAAGAATTTGCTGCAATCTTGGAAAAATTCTTCTTCAAAGTCTTCTAAAAGCATTTTAACTTTTTATTTACATTTGGAAATTCAAGCCATCTAAAATGAAATCTAGCATATGGTCTGACATAGGTGCCAACATTATTTTTATATACATATCCAGTTAAGGTGGCATTATTTATTGAGAAGATGAAGCTTCCTCTATGGCTCTACAGTTTCTCCTTTGTCATAGATTAGTTTTCTCCATTTTTGTGGGTTTGTTTGTAAACCCTGTATTCTGTTCCACTGGTCTATTTATCAATCCTTGTTTCAATCCACACTGTTTATAGTAAAGTGTTATAAGATGATTTTTAGCTATTAGTATAAAATTGCTGATTTGCAATTATTCGAGACTGACTTTATTATTTCCTGCTTTGCATTTCTACATATCTTTTAGAATCAGCTTGTCATTTCCCATCCCCTTCAAAAAACACTACCATTTTTATTGGGATTATGTTGCATCTATATATACGAGAGAATTGTCTTCTAATTCATAAATATAGCATATCCCAATTTATTTTATTTGTTCTAATATCTCTTAACAATGGTTTATTTTCTACTTGAAGTTTCCACAGCCTTCATTAGATCCATGCCATTATAAATGGTATCATTAAAAACAAACAAACAAAAAATTTACTTTCCGTTTGTTGCTAGTATATGTAACTACAATTTATTTTTATACTAGCTTCATGTCCAGTCCAGTGATCATCTCAATTAACTAATCCCAATAATTTGAGGTATATATTTTTTTGAATTTTCTATGAAAAAAAATCATGTCTGCACATAAGTTGATTTTTATTTCTGCAATATAATTATTTGGCTTATTGTACTGGCTAGGCTTTGCCAGATAATTATTAATGGGTCATAGGAGATATCCTTATCTCATTACAGAAGTCATACATCTTTCATTATTTCATCATTAAATCTGATAATTCTTTCCATTTTTAAAATAAATGCCTTGTTTCAGACTAAGAAAACTCTATTTTATTTCTAGTTTTCTGTTATTTAATATTACAAATGGGATTTGAGATGATTATTATAATTCTCTTTTTTGTTAATTTAGAAAATTGTATTAATTGATCTAAAAATTTTAAGCCACCCCTGAAGTCCTGAAATAAATTCATTTTTAAAATTTATACATTGTATTTTATTAATTGATAATTTTTCTTGATAATATTTTGTTTATCATTGTACTTAGTGATGAAATAATTATTTTTTAGGATGTTGGTATCAAGGTTATGCTGGACTCATAAAAAGAATGTGGCATATTCTCAGTTTATAAAAGTGGCTATTTAGGACTGGTATAATTTATTATTTGTTTAAAGGTTTGAGTACAGAGTTTCTTCTGGATATGGAGTTTTATCCAGATAATTATTTTAATTAGATTCAATTCTAATAGGTTTTTAAATTCAATTCTAATTAGATTTTTTATTTCTTCTATCAGTTTTGAAAATCTGTTTTTCTAAGAATTTTATTTATTTTTTTCTATTTATTGGCATAAATTTGTTTATAATATTCTGATTTTTTTGATTATGTATTCCCACAATCACCCTGTGAAATAAACTACCTTAAGATTTACTGGCTTAAAACAATATATACTGCTTTGTGTGGATGGATTTGATTTTTTTGTTTTGTTTTGTTTTGTTTTGTTTTTTGGTCTGGTGAGCTACATAAATTCATTAATTTTAGTTTAAATGTAGATTTGTTTGGGATTTTCTGTGTGAAGACATCATGTTATGTGCAAATAGTGAGAATTTTGGTTCTGCCTTTTCACTATTACATGTTTACTTATTTGTTTATTTAATTTGTTTTTATTGGAATTGCACTTTCTGCTTGGCAACATGGCACAGTTCTTGTAGTCTGAGCTGGGCTTGGAGGGATCACTTACGCAGCAGCAGTCAATTGTGTTAAGCTGAGCAGCTCTGCTTTTCTTGGCTGGGCCCTCTTACATGTCTGGAGCCTCAGCTATGCCTTTATGGCTCAAATGGTTTTGCTTCACATGGTTTCTCATCCATTTGGACCAACTTGAGCTTGTTCGTAAGGAGAAAGTAGGGGCTCAACAGAAAGAGGGAGAGAGATTAGAAGCATGGAAGGCCTTTTGAGACCTTTGCTTAGAACTCGCACATCAACATTTTACACCACATTTTGTCGGTCAAGAAAACTACAAGACCTACTTCAAAGGATGTGGAAGTAGAATCAACCTCTCTATAGGAGGACCTGCAAAGTCACATTGTGAAAGAAAAGACAGAGGGAAAAAGCATAGAAGCCATTTTTGCAGTCAATCTACCATACTCATTTTCTTTTCACCACTTTTATTGATGTAATGTTTTTATCCTTTTCATTGTTACTATTAACATTTGGGCCCTTTTAATACCTATTTTTAGTCCAGTTTTATGGGATTGTTAATGTTATTAATTTTTTTAAAAAAGAAAAATTGGACTTGTAAATTATATTTTCTCATTTGTTGGTTTTCTAGTTCATGAAATTCTGCTCTTTTTAAAATAATATTTGCTATTTCCTTTTTCAATTTTTAAATCTTTTTTGTTTTTATTATTTCCATTTTCAATTTGGGGGAACATTAATTAGCTGTTTTAACTTTTTACAGAAATTTTTAAGTAATTGATTAAATGTACTTTTTTGCAATATATACATTTCAAAATATTTTCTACTTTCCAATGTTTTCTACCTAGACAAATAAGCTACTTATGTGAGTCTCTTTTTCTACCATAGTGATGAATTTTATTATTTGTTTTTCTTAGTTCTATCAGCTTCATGCTAAATTGTTAGGTTAGAAAATTTTTGAGTAAGAACTGGATATTAGATGATTTTAGGAAATTACTGCTAATTTTATTAAGTATGCAAATGACATTTCTATAGGCAAATATCTTATTCTTAGAAAATGCATGATGAAGGATTTAGAGAAAAAGAAATCTGACATCTGAAACCTATGAGCAAATGTATAAAACAAGTTTTGCTAAAACAATTGAGTACATAGCATGTATATAATATAGTTAAAATTTAACAATTACTGAATCTAGACATCAGGTGTGCAGATATTATAGTATAATTCCTATAATACTCCTGTATGTTTAAAGTTATCATAATAGAAAATGTTGGGAAAAATTTAGAAATGATGTGGACCTCCTTCTGAACTTGTTTTTTAGAGACCTCAGCATGTTGACTATAGGTAGTAAAGGCTTCTTACTGAAAGATGGGTGTGTTTCTTTTTGTGTGTTAATACTGCCAATCCAGCAATTAAGTTAATTATTTTCTCAAAATCTTGCCTAGTATTTTGATAAGTAATTATCTATCCCACATATCTCTGTATTACTAATCCATTTGGACTATCCTATGGAAGAAAGTGTTTGGTTCCCCAATGTTACAACCTTAGTGGACATGTAATGTCAAGTGACTACAGATGAAAACTTCTTATTTCCCAATTTAAGACATAAGGCCAACTTGACCTAAAAGTAATTCTACATTCTCTAGGTTTTCTCTGAGAATGTATTGCAATTCCAACACAACTAATAAATACTAATATTTGGGTCTTGTTTAATTTCAATGACCATAAGCCTACTCAATGTTGCCCAAGTAAAGTGAGATTTATTATGCAAATATTAATAGAATAAAAGCCGATTATGGCATCAGAAAGAAAAAAAAGTGGACTATCATATTTTGATAATAGATTGGTTTTAGCTTTTTTCTCTGTCTTAAGTGTCTTCTTATCTTTTGAGAATCTTTGTCTCCAGTTTGTCAGAAGAGACTGTCTGATTGATTCAGTCGATTAATGGATTGGTCATCATTGGAAGAGTGGTCTTCCTCATCCATTCAGATATACTTATGTGAGAGAGAGGACTTATATTATATATTCAAATAGGAAAACCATAGTGGTTTTCAGTTTTAAACTGGAAAAGCAAAATAATTATGTCTGTATTATATGAATTTAGCTCTTGTTTTATAATAGATGATAGGAGAATTTTTATCTTATCTTGTTTGTGTCATGATCAGCTGTCTGGAATAGGAGGTTTCCCTGTATACATCAGTTCATTGGTATTATAAGAAATGCCTCAGAACTTCATCAAGATGTAGCAAAGTGTTTAGATAAAATAGAACTACAGCAATAATAGAATTGTAATTACAGCAATCATAGAATCTTCTCTGTTATCTGATCCATGAGTTTGCCACAGGAATTTCCTTGAAGTTATGCAAAAGATGAGAGAAAAGATTTGCATTCACATCTATCATTCTACAATAACATGAGTCATGAGAACTTGCTTTATCTTAAGGGAGGTTTGAATGGATGCACTCTGGCTGGACCCACCTATCTCATGGAGGCAATTTATTCAATTTAGTAAACATATATTATCTATTATAACCTAAAAATGTTATGTTTTGTGGTAGGATTAATTTAAAAATCAATATCCTCATAGAACTTAAAGTTTTATGATTATAAAATACACATTAATTTGTGAACAATGGTGTTAATATGTGAAAAATTATTAATATTGGTGATATAAAATGTAAAAGGTTAGTTCTTAGCATGAATTATTAAGTAACTTTTCCAGGCATGATAAATAATGGACTTGACAAATGGGTAAGTTTTGGATAAATAGAGAGGAAGAGGGAGGCACAAAAAGAATGGAGGAATGCCATAGTAAAGTGCAATGAATTGAAGATAGGGTACTATGAGACTATAGTCTAAAACTGTATTGTTTTACAGTAACTTTTTGGAGAAAAGTAAATTAAACATATCCTCTCCACCATAACTTTATGGGGAATGCTGTTGTGCTTTGTGGACTCAGGATTGAAAAATTATGCTGAAAAATTCTGATGAATCTGAAAGAGATGTTTTATTTCTTTGCTAGTCTAACTGAAAACTTAATGACTCAGTCAAGCTGTATGTGTCATTTTGTGATTTAATATTATTTATTTTCTCGAATACAATCCAAACACTGAAACAAGCACAAAGACATACCATGGATTATGTTCACTGCTTCTTGGCAAAAGTACAGTGAATGGTTTTACTCAATTATATGTTCATTGTTTTTCAAATGTTATAATTAAGATCTAATAAAAACCCTATTAAATAATGTGTTTTCATTAAAAATATCACATTTTATAGGGCTCTTTTTATTTAAAGCGTTAAGAGAACTTTTGACTATTTTTCCTAGGAAACTTGATAACCCTGAAAATTCCTTTTCATAGAAGATCATAAGTTCATGTTAAGCAGTAAAATGTATAATTTATAGTGAAAGCCTATGCATTGTAAAATAATTCTTATATTTATCTCCCACTCGTGCTCTAGAATTGGCAGATATTTTTATCACTATTCTTCACATTTGTATCTATCAAATGGGGTTGGTGATATTCTTATGGAGTGTAGTGAAGATTAAATGAGATACTTGCATAGATTTAAATGTGTGAACCAGTGTAAGCAGCTAACACATAGAAACTGCTGTAATAATCCAAATCAAAATCTAATAACAAAGTGGATGGCTAGGGTACAATTTTAACATTATTAATGTTATGACAAAGATATAACACAGTATTATTACATTATAATCCTGCCACATTCCTGCTCTTCTCTTTAGACATTATTTTACATCTATCTTTTTTCCCTATAAATAATCATCTAGTTCTGTGTTCTTTTTTGAAATCTCTTTTTTCTCTGGTGAAATTATTACTCATCAAAAAGCATTCAATACTTAAAATGTGAGCATATAAATACAAGTTTTAAGTGGTTCAAAGTACATATAAATTCTCTGTTGGAATTTGAAGATGTGACTTGACCTCTAAGTTGACCTTTAAGGATTCTGAACAAATTGAGATAAGATAGGTTCAGCAATGGTCCAAATGTTAGCTTTTTTATGGATTAAAGAATAAGTCACTACTGTATTATGGGGAGGGGTTAAAGCCTGAAAGAGCTGCAGGAATGAGAGGAAATTTTTACTTATACTCTCTTGGAACAGCAGAGATTATAGGGAGAGATTTCTTTATCATAGATGCAGAAAACAGAAAGGGCATATTCTCCTATACCATGATGCCTGCTTATAGTTGGGAGATAAGATATGTATCCCAGTTTCTTAGTGATCAAGAGACCATTTATACCAAAGGGGATGCTAAATATACTTCTGAGGCTTAAACATGCATGATTCTTCTTACATAACTGTCATAATTTACTCTGACCTGTCTCATTTCTGTTTTAGTAATTTCAGCAAAATTTAAATCTATATACTATTTTAATTTATTTCTACTCCTGAAACTCTAAGAGACTATTGTTTTGAGTGAATCTGTATTTTCTTCTTTTGTTCCAAGGCCAGGCAACTCTTTCTTTGAGAAGTGTCTAAGGAGTCCCATTACAGTAAGACCCATTTTGAGTGTCCTTAGACATTAAGACTAGTCCTTAAATTAGAATAATTTCATGATCAGTTGAAGTAAGCTGTTCTTTCTCTTTAAATACATAGATGCTTCGTGAGGATTTAACATAGAAATATTATTAATAAATCCATATTATTTGAAACCTGTGTGAACACAACACAATGAACATTTCAAAAAAATAAATTCCTCTTCTCCTCGACTTTCTGGTTAATTAGATTTAACTATTTTTTTCTTTTGTTGATACACTTTAAATTTTGTTTTAATATCAATAATTTATCATTCATGTAAAGGTTATTCTTTAAACACTGGAGGTAAAGATACTAGTAACATAATATGCTTAATTTACTAATGGTGATTGTATCTGAGAAAATGAATTCAGCTACATGTTATGGAAAATCTGACTCAGACTGCTCCAACAACAGAGAATTTGTTGGCTCATCAATGGAAGTCGAAAGATAGGGTACATTTCAGGGACAGTTTATAGTTTATTTCAGTGTCCTGGCCTATGTGTGCTTGTTTCTGTGTGTGTGTGTGTGTGTGTGTGTGTGTGTGTGTAATCTTAATTGTGCATGTTGGTTTAAACTTCAGGCAGCATTCCTCAAGGTGGCTCCAGTTTTCACATTTCACACACTACAGCATGCAGAGGAAGAGAGAATGCTTTGTCTTAACATTCCAAGAAAACTCTGAGATTCCTCACGATTGGAATGTTTACAACATATGTCTGCCTCTATGCTGCTCATGAGTATAGAATATACTGATTAACTTAAGTCAAATATTGCCTATCTTAGGAAATGGGGGTATGGGCAGCTATATACAAGGCTTGGCTGTGTGCTAAAACTTAGATACCTTAAATAAACTGAAATTTTTATTATTAAATGGGAAAGGGGTGCAAAAGTGATCCACCTGCTCACCACAACCAATCTTCTTTTGAAACATAATCTTTTGTCCAGTGTCTTTTCTTTATGATAAAAAGCAGCTTTATTCCACATTGCGCAAAGAACAAGAGCTGCTATGTCAGTGTGGATAATGTTTTGCTTTACAAATCTTACAAGTACATATTTAATTAATATCATGATCCTTCACATTCAACTTAAACTCTTGGGCTAATTATCTCAAGAGTGATCCATTAGATGATTGGGGACAACATTTAAGGTATCAAGATCTATTTATTATTTGTCCAAACATCACAGTGGTGGTGTTTTTAATTTCAATTAGAATGTGGTATCTCATGCTTTCTAAAATTGTGTTTTAAAAGTAATATTTTATAACTATATTTCAAATATTCTTATGTTTCCATTCCTGGAAAAGGCATTATAGGTTGAAATGGTGGATCTGAGTTCTGATATCCCCTTGGAAACAATATTATAACAGGAAGTTATGTTCCACAACAAGGGCCTGATTAATTTTTTTGTTTTATTTTATAAATGGCTAGAAATAAACTATCTTATCAACTCTTAAATAACATATAAACATATAAGAGCAATAGTATGACATTTTTCAGTGTGTTTATTGAATTGGACAATATAGTATCCACATACATAAAATTTTATAAATTCTGATACAGAATTCTAGAATTTTTTTAAGAAATGAGATAAAGGAAATATTAATTGGGAACAGAATTTAAATGAATCATTTGGAGCAATTTTTTCAGGAAATTTCAAGATATTTTAGGACTCTCAGGGATAGCTGCTGGACTTTGAGTATTTGTTTCTCTAGTTGTTTGTTTCTTTATTTATTTGGAAGCTGGTTTATGGATGCTTATTTTTACAGCTTCTACTGATAATTGAGATATCCTCCATAGCAAGCAAAAGCTTAGGTTCCTCTGTGTTTGACATTGTATCCTCTTCTTCAACAGTGACTTTGTAGCATAACTGTGTTATACATACCACGTTTCAGAAAAGTCATACAAAGTGCAGTGTTGTAACTGACAATATTTTGATTTTTTTTTATTTTACCCAGGTTTTTTTAAGCATATTTGGAAGCAAGAGGTTGTAGAGTTTGAAGGGAACTTTGAGATCTTCCTGTCCAATCGTACATTCATTGTGAATTGCTTCCCCCACAGAATAAACAGTTTTGTTCAGGTGTTAGAAATCCAGCTCAGCCTAACTGAAGTCAGAAACAGGGTTTTAATTCCCTCACAGAACTAAAGAAGTCAGAAATGGAACTGACTTGAGGCAAAAGTTGATGCCAAGAGGACTCTTTTCATTCTGATTCTTTGGGGTGTTTTTCTCTTTTTTTTTTTCTTTTTCTTTTCTTTTTTCTTTTTTCTTTCTTTTTTTTTTTGAGAAGGAGTCTCGCTCTGTCGCCCAGGCTGGAGTGCGGTGGCACGATCTCGGCTCACTGCAACCTCCACCTCCTGGGTTCACACCATTCTCCTGCCTCGGCCTCCCGAGTAGCTGGGACTACAGGCGCCCGCCACTACGCCCGGCTAATTTTTTTGTATATATTTTTAGTAGACACGGGGTTTCACCGTGTTAGCCAGGATGATCTCGATCTCCTGATCTCGTGATCCGCCCGCCTCGGCCTCCCAAAGTGTTGGGATTACAGGCGTGAGCCACCGCGCCCGGCCTTTTTTTTACTCTCATTCTTTTCTCCTCTCACTATGCTTCCTCCCTGTGATAGTGAACCGGACTACTACCAGCTTTAAAGTTTAATCAGATTAGCTATAGATTCCAGGAAAAGAGAGTCTTTCTCATATATGGTTGCGTATAACAGTAGATAATAAAGTCCAATTAGTCAGACATGGGCCATGAGTCCACACACTGGTGTATGAATCTTCACCTCTGAAATGTGATACAAACCCACACCATGTGCACAATCCTAGAGAAGTGGAGAGCTATAATTAGACTCCTCTCATCAGATCTATATGGAGTTTGGGAGAAGTGTTTCACAACATTGGTGTGCCCATAATCAGAAAAAGGGTGAAGAGATGGCGGACAATTAGAAAGATTAGGAGTCCATAGTAGTTTGTGAAAATGTCGCTTCATACCTGTGGTAGGCTGAATAATGGTCCTTCAAGGATGTCCACATCTTAATCCACGGAATTTATGAATGTTATCTAAAATGGCAAAGAGGATTTGGGAGAATATCCCCCATCATCAGAGTAGTCCCTAAATGCAATCACATGTATCCTTTTTGAGGGAGGCAGAAAGAAAGAGAGAAATTTGACACGCTATGAAAGAGGGAGAGCCATTGTGACCATAGAGGCAGAGATTGGAGGGATACAACCAGTAGAATCCCCGCAAATGCAAGAAGTTGATTCTCCTTTAGAGTCTCAGGAGGGATCACAGTCCTGCCAACACCTTGATTTTGGTCCAACGATACTGATTTTGGGTTTCTGGCCTTCACAACTGTAAGAGAATAAATTTCCTTTGTTTTAAGCCACCACATTTGTGATAACTTGTTACAGCAGCCACTGGAAACTAGAACAATACCTAGTGAATTGATATTTTCCTCATTCTAACTGTTACTCACAGATTAATCCTATCTGGATGTCTCAACAACCAAAAATACGTTAATCTGTTTTCCTTTCCTATTGCTCCTTGTGGAAGTTTTTCAAAATAACTCTCAAGATTTTCTTGTTAAGGCGACATGTATTCAGTTTTGCATGGTTGCCGGTCCTTCAGGGTAATTCCACGGTACCATCCTGCCTCACATCCTTTCAGAAAGGAAGTATGAATTACAGAAAATACCATGGATATTTTCATCAAGATAAGTAGGTTTAACACTGGCTTCAGCAATTGTAGTTGTTTCATTTTCTACATATTGACTTATTTGATTTATACATATACACACATTAATTACACACTCATATAGGAAATCTGGAATACAGTAGATACTAAAATACTGTTAGGTACCTATCTCAATTAATCATTATCTTACTCTTCAAGTACATGTCGAGGTACTTCTTTTGTCAATGGTCAACATCTCTCTTAAAATATTACACTCAAATCAGTGTACAATAGCTAGGCATAATAAACTATATGTGGAATAATCAGCAAACAATTCAGTGGAGTTCATACTTTCCTTTGTCTGAAATATACACACACAGGGACACACAAACACATACATGTACACCAAATTTTTATTACAAAGTATTTCAAATAACCATGAAACAATTAAATGGATAGCAATATACCCCCAACTATCACCAAAAAGATGTTTACATTTTGTTATTTTTGATTCATGCAAAGATGTGAAATGTGACAGGTATACTAAAGTTCACTTTCACCTTCCCTACCCATTTCCTAAATCCCTACAAAGGAACACTCACCTGAAATTGGTGAATGTCAATCTGCTATATGCTTTGGTCGCTTGGTAGATATACATGCATCCATAAACATTGTTCTATTGTATGGTTTAAACATACAAAAAAAGTATTATATACATACTGCTTTGTAATTTCCTTTTTATTTTATTTATTTATTTTTTTGAGATGGAGTCTTACTCTGTCACCCAGGCTGGAGTGCAGTGGCGGGATCTCGGCTCACTGCAACCTCCCCCTCCTGGGTTCAAGCAATTCTCCTACCTCAGCCTCCCAAGTAGCTGGGACTACAGGCAAGTGCCACCACGCCCAGCTAATTTTTTTATTTTTAATAAAGACAGGGTTTCACCATATTGGCCAGGCTGGTCTCAAACTCCTGACCTCGTGATTCAGCCGCCACAGCCTCCCAAAGTGTTGGGATTACAGGTGTGAGCCACCGTGCTTGGCCTGTAATTTCCTTTTTACAACTCAAGAATATTTTTAAGGTTTATCCACACTTCATAAAATAGAATTAGTTTGTTCATTTTAATTATTCTTTACTATTCACCTATGTTGAATGCATGTACTTAAGCCACTTATTTATCTATTGCTCTACAGAGGAATAATTAGGTTGCTTCCTTCTCTTTTCTATTACACATAGTCATGCAATTAACATGCTTAACTCTATTCCCTTGTGAACTCACGGATGTAAATTACTAAATAATAAAGTTCATGCAAGTTTACAACTTTATTAGATATTGTCATTTTGCTTTCAAAATTTATTGTGTCTCATTGCGCTACCTCCAGGAAAGCATAAAAGATTCTATTTCCCCACAGCTTTGTCAACACTTAGTGTTTTCAAACTTATTAACGATTTCAAACTTATTAATCCTCACATGGTTTTAATGGTACCTTGAAATTTAAATTTGCACTTTCTAATTAATAACGAAGTTGAAGATATTTTCAGTTTGATTTTCCTATTTTATAAATTGTCTTTTCCTAACTTTGTTCATTTTTTTTTAATTGAGGAAGGGTGTTTTTCCCTTTTCATTTAATAGATTTATAGGACTTTGATAGTCTCTCAATTTTGTATTTTTGTTAATTTTATGTGTTACAAACACTTTCCCTAGGCTTTCTCTTTTTTTCATTTGGTTGATCATTTTTTTGTTTGATTGCTCATTGATATAAAATCTTAAGTGTAAATGTCATTTAATTATATAGATATCTTCCAAAGTATATTATAATAATTTTAACACTTACATTTTAAATCCATTTGGAATTTAATACATTTGGTGTTTTAGAATTCAATTTTAATTTTTTCTATAGATTGCCAATATTCTATTATTTCTCAGGGGTTTAAAATGCCATCTCTCATAAGTATAAAGTAATGTACCACATGCACCAGTCAATCATGGGCTTCTTAGACAAGATAGTACCATAAGATTATACCATATTTTTACTGTACATTTTCTGTATTTAGATATGTTTAGATACACATATACTTTCAATTCTGTTACAATTGCCTACAGAATTCAGTACATTACCATGTTATAGAGTTTTGAAGCCTAGAAGCAAAACAGTCATATAGCCTTGGTGTTTAGTAGGCTATACCATCTAGGTTTGCATAAGTACACTCAATGATGTTTGCACAATGACAATATTGCCTAATGATACACTTCTCAGAATATATCCTGTCATTAAGTAACACATGACTCCGTAATTGTTCTTAGATTTATTACATTGCCTCCTTTCTATAGGATTCTTAAAAGTGGTCTAGTTTTGTAGTAAATTTTGATATTTTGTTGGGAAAATATCCAAATTTGGCTGGGTGTTCTTGGCCCTTAGTATTTACATACACATTTTAGCATAGTTTTTCAAGTTCATAAAATATCCTGATGAGATTTTGATTGAAATTGTATTTAATTTCTTATTTTGCTTGGGGAGAATGCAATCTTTATGATTTCAAATTTTCTAATTTATCAATAAGTTATAATATGTCCATTTATTTGCCTTCTTTTATGTCCATTAATCAAGTTTTATACTTTTTTTCATAAAGAACATGTACTCTGGGTACATGTAATCTTGGGTTAATTTCCATAAATCTTATGACTTGGGATTGTATCGAGAATGGTATTTTTATTACTTCAATTTCCTAATGGTTTTATTGTGGTAAAGTGTGCTATTGATTTCAGAAATTTTTCTTAGATTCTTCAAACTGAATATATCTCTTATTATTTCTAATAGATTATCTAGAAACTGTAAATAATGCTATTTTATTTTCCACATCAAGATTTTTATTATTCTCTTATACTTACTAGAATTTCCAGTGTCACGTAAATAGATACAAGGATCATGAACTTTCTTGTATTGCTTCTGATTTTAAAAATAATGTTTCCAGAAATCCAGCAGTAAGTATATTCTCTATGTTTTATTGTTAGTTACACATTACCAAGTTAAACAAGTTTATTCTAGGAGTTTTCTATGAGTTTTAATTATAAACGAATGTTGTGTTACTTTTTTTTTCTCCACTCAGTCACATTATCCTATAGTTCTCTCCTTTAGTATATTAATATGGTGAATAATGTTAGTGGATTATCTAAAATTCAATACCTGAATTCAGAAGATACATTTAGAAATCGAGAAACGTGCCTTAAATTTTGCAAATGCATAGGGATCAGGAACATGTTTTCTTTACTGTAATAATTTTGCATATTATTGCATCATGGACAGCTGGGCTGGCCCACTATTCATTTTATGGGGAATGTCTTGATTTTAGCACTGAAAAGTTCTACAACCTGGAAATCCCTCCCTGAAACTCAAAAACACCCATTTTTTCAGCAATAGGTATGGAAAGTTGGGAGAAAGGTACAGGAGTTCTAAGACAGACAAAAAATAGGGGTTGAAAGCAGCATTGTTTTACCATTAAATGGATGCAGCATGGACCATCTGCTTTCTATAGTCCCTGTTGCTATTTTTTTCCCTGGCCACCTATGTTGGCAATCATGCTTTGCAGTTTCTAATAATGGATCATCCAGTGTTGTATCACCTGACTGAAGCAAGTTAACTGTATAACTTAAGTGTGTTTTATTTGTGAGCATGCATAATTTGTCCTTGATTTTGGTGATGGATTAACTATCATGATTTGTATCAAGATAATACTAGTTTAGTTGTTAACATTGTGAATATTGTGACTAGATTTTCTAACAATTCCCATAATGGAAACGAGAACAAATATAATATCAACATCAAAATGACCTAGCCTTCAATGGAAAAGAAGCTTAAATGACTGTACAATTTAATGGCAGATGGAAGAATATCTAAAAGAGGATTCAGAAGGTAAATAACCAAAACAGAGCTTACTATAAAATATACAGAAAATAATCTGCGTTTGAGGAGGTGAAGAAAGCATATGTGAAGACTGAATCTCACAAGCCAACACCAGGAAGTAATTTTAAATCAATCAAAATGTTTTTCATCTCACCAAAAGACACAGATGGTCTATTGAAAATAGTGGCTGCCGCATTAGCGTGGACATACCACATACACAATGCATAATATCACATCTATCCCTTGACTGCTCTATGAAAATGAGTAAAGTTACATTTCCTGATACAGAGGTTGCAACTAAAATGTCTGACATCAGCCTCTTATAGTGTAGAGCTGATTCTGTCAGATTTTATTAATATTAATGATCATGCCTTCTTACAGTATATCAAGTGATATGTCAGATCATTAGAACAAAAACAACAGGGTACTCTTAAGTACTTCAGTTTGTAAAATCAAATACAGAGCTTAATTTCTACAAAAAAATTAATAAAACCACAGAAACCAGAAAAGAATAGATTGCTGATATTTTGTTTAAATACAAACTAGGCCATGCTCATCTACCTGCATATTCAGCAAAAATTACAAATACAAGTTTTGGCAAATTCCATTCCTCCATAAATTTCAACCACAGAAAATGAACACCTCTTACTTAGCTAAATGTCCTGCATGCTTTCTATGCAAGATTACAAAAAGAGGTGTAATTTGCTTATCTTTGATATTGAGGCTTTCATAATGAATGTATTTTGTCATTTTTCATTTCTTCAAAATGTGCATAACCACACAATAAAATTTTCAGTTCATAGAAGTAAGAGTAGATAATGTCCTAAACATGTGGCCTACATGTTGCCCACCATAGAAACAATTTTAAAATCTCCTGTAAAAGTATATTTTCAAAGTATGAGAAAAATAGTGTCCATTTCTAATTTGGAAATACATTGACAACAAAAACAAAAGAGAATGATTAGAGTAAAACAGAAGTTCATGTTCTGTTCCCCCAAAATTCTATGATGGTCTTTTGTAGAAGCCATGAGCAGTCTAAAAAAAGATGAACTAACTGCATCTGAAGTATTTGCTGTTGTTATGTGTAGATTGTGATAAAAATACATATTGGGAAAACATGACCTTTTAAAATAGAAATAAGACTGCTTTAGAGCCCCAAAATATATGACTAGAAAATGGCAAAGGTAAAGATAAACAGGACTTTTCTCAATTTTTTTTTCACTAAGACTGTTACTTAACTGGCTTTTACTTTAAACTTCACAAGTTCTAATTACCTCCCTGCTTTAAATCCACTTTTCCTGAAAAAAAAAAAAAAAAAAGTTTAAATTCTGATGACATTCAATGTGAGTTTTAAAATTATGGTTATTTTAGAGATGGATATCCTATATGATGAATTTATAGATGCAAAGGACTTGATTGCAAAAGCTGGCCTACCAAAACAGGGCTGTAGATACAGAGTATATGGGCGTTTTTGAGAATAATTCCCATAAGTTTTAAAATTTGCTGTTGCAGGAAGGTAAAATGCTAAGTATTTCATGCTCAAATGCTTTTGCATAGAGGCTGCTTAGCTTGATGTTATCAATCAGACTGACACAAGAAATCAGCATAATGGGGACTTGTTAAAAACAGAGCTGGAAATCACAATGAATCTTAGGATTGATTGTATTTAGTTTTACCTCTAAATAAAAATAAAGAATGATGTCCTAAATGCTGAAGGCAGTTAAGGCAAATACAGTGGCTCCCTCTTATTTGTGATTTTGCTTGGCTGTCTGTGATTTTAGTTATCACAGTCAATTGTGATCTAAAAGTGTGAGTACAGTACAATAAGATGTTTTGAGAGACAGAGACTGCATGCACATAACTTTTATGACATTATATTGTTACAATTGTTTTATTTTATTTTGTTATTGTTCTTAATCTCCTAGCTGTGCCTAATTTAGACATTAAATTGCATCATTCTATATCATGTATAGAAAAAAACAGTACAGTCTTCCCTTGATATCTGTGTGGGATGTTTCAGGACCTCCAACTGATACCAAATTTCTCAATGCTCAAGTCCCTCAATTGGCACTGTGGTACCTCAGATATGAAAAGTCAGCCCTGCATGTCTGTGGGTTTTGCTTTCTGTGAATACTGTATTTTTGATCCATGGTTGTTTGAATCCACAAATGTAGAACTCGCACATATGAATGGCTGACTATAGAGAGAGTTTGATACCATTCACAGTTTTGGGCATCCACTGGAAGTCTTAGAACTTAACTCTCGTGGGTAAGGGGAGACTACTATATTATTGGAAAAGGTAACAGAAAGGATAAAATTTCTTACCTTATCATGGATTAGAAGACAGTATGACATTATTTATTATTAAATATGGCTAATTTTTCCTTAGTCCTACTTATGCTTTCCTTTTAAAAAGTTTACATTTATGAATCTTAAAGAAATAATAATAAATCATATAACATTTAACATCCAATTAGAAGTAAGAAAAGAGCTGTTCCAGAAAATGGAAACAAGATTTCAGATAAATACCAATTTGTCATATTTTGTGTTAAAGTGATAACATGTATGTGTGTAATTAGTATACAGCATTTACTATAATTGTTATTTGCTGTTATAATTATTATTATTGTTTGGCGTGGCTATGTCTTAGTTTACTTTCTAAAGTATTGCCTATAGTAGGTACAGTCCCTACATGCTATTTGGTATTTACTGTATTATAGTTTAATATATGGTTAACTTTAATAAATGCTTGCTTGAATGCAATGTATATTCACTAATCATACAGGTGAAAGAGTTATATATACATGCCAATATGTGGGGACTAAACTTGTTATTTGTTTTGTTTAAATCATTTATATTCTGATTTTTGTTCTGCTTGATGAATTAGTTTCTGAAAGAGTGGTATTATAATCTCCCATACTAATTTAAGATATGTCCAGTTTTCTCACAATACAGACAAATTTTGAATGATATGTTTTGAGGCTCTCTTTGAAGCTCATACTTGTTCTGAATTATAGTATCTTGTCAAATTGTTCCTTTAATCATGTGTACAGTATTGACTTTATCTATAATAATGGTCCTGTCTTAAATTCAAAACTGTCTGCTTAATATCATTATGTTAACTCCTCTCTTGAGTATTTGCCTACATCATTTTATATCCTTTCATATAAAATCTTTCCCTGTCATTTTGTTTTATGTGTAATTCTAGTGTACATCATATTACAGATTTCTATTTTTTAGTTCATTTTGAGAGTTTTTGTCAACTGATGACATTGGCTTGTGTCTACTTATTGTTATTACTGATGTATTTGGATTTATTTCTGCTGTCATATTTTGTAGATAATAAATATGCATTGTTTTTGTTTCCTTTCTTACTTTTTAAAAATTAATAAACATTATTTTTCAGAAAGTTTTAGGTTCACAGTAAAATTGAGCAAATTACAGAGAATTTCCATGTACCCTCCCTCGGTCCCCAGTTTGTGGATTGTCTTCTCTTTCTCTTGACATTGTCTTTAGCAGAATGGAAGTTTTCTATCTGAATGAAGTCTTATTTACCAATTATTTCTTTCATGGATTGTATTTTTGGTATTGTAGCTAAAAAAATCATCACCAAACCCAAGATCATCTAGATTTTCTACTGTGTTATCTTCCTACAGTTTTATTTTGTATTGTATTTTTTTTAGTTTTGTGGGTTGCATTTAGTTCTATAATGCATTTTCAGTTAATGTTTGTGAATGGTGTAAAAGTTTGTTTCTAAGTCCATGTTTTTTTAATGTAAATGTCTGGTTGACCAGGTCTTGTCTTTGGCCCTTTGTCAAAGACCAGTTGACTAGAATCACATGGTCTATTACCGGGCTCTCTATTTTGTTCCACTGATTTATTCATCTATATTTTCAACAACACTGTCTTGATTACTATAGCTTTATACTAGATCTTGAAGTGCAGTAGTGTTAGTCCTCTGACTTTGCTCTTTTTCTTCACTATTGATTTGGCTAATCCGGACCTTTTACCTTTCATAGAAACTTCAGAATAAGTTTGTCCACAAAATAACTTGCTGGGATTTTGATTGGTATTGCAATAAATCTATTACTCAAGTTGGAAAGAACTAACATCTTGACAATATTGAGTCTTCCTGTACATGAACATGGAATATCTCACCACTTACTTAGGTCTTCTTTGATATTGTTAATTAGAGTTTTGTCATTTTCCTCATGTAAACATTTAATATATTTTATCAGATTTATACGTAAGTGTTTTATTTGGAGGATTGATGTAAATAGTATTTTTTTAATTTCAAATACTGCCAGCTCACTGCTTGTATACAAGAAAGTTGTTGACTTTTGTGTATTACTGTCTTTGATATTTTTCACCTCTTTATCACTCTGTGTTTCACCTTGGTAAATTTTCCAGGTTTTTAAAGGTTTACCATTTTCATCCTGAATTGTTCCTTAAATGGTGTTTATCCCATCTAATGAGTTTCTCAGGAAACATGAAAATATTGCTCTTTTACAAATGGTCTTATACTTTCTAAATGTCTTTTTTATAGAGATTTTATTAAAACTATTTTATTAACTATTTTAAGCATATTTATTTATTTTATATTGTTTTTTATTTTTTTGTACTGCATTGAGTTCTTGGGGCTGAGTTTGCCATATTTGTTGAGTCTGTTGATTCAGGGGCCAAGTAGATTGTTCTCTTTTACATTTTGTAAATTTTGTCATTATATTTTAACTTAACTTTATTTCTTAGTATATGTGTGTGTTGGTATCCCTATAGTATTGGTTGTGGAAATTATCTCCTGAGTGCCTTTTCTATGCTTCTGCCAAATATCCCAGATTTATCACTAGAGGGTACAAATTTTTATCATTAATTTTTTATTGGAGTTATGCAGACCTCATGGATAATTCTGAACCTAAATCTATTCAAGATAAAGTTTTTGGATTTTGATTTCTCAGAAGAGACATATTTTTGTTTTACCCAGGGACAAGGCAAAATAAAATAATATTATTATCTTTTATTTGAGCCAATTGTTGGGTATATTTTCCTACTTTCCTACAAATGTTTATTTATTTATTTATTTTGAGCACTGACTATTTAGGAGCTAATAAACACCCAGACGTTAGCTCCCATATGAACAATAAACAGAATCCCTATGTTTTGAACACCAAATTTTTCTGAAACCATGGACAGTTTAGAAATTGTATTTCATTTTTTCCTACATTTTTCTCTTCAATTCCCTTCCATTTTTAGCAACTCACACTTGCATTCAAAATTATTTTAATTAATTATTTTCTTTCAAGGATTTCTAGTTATTTGAGCAGATGGATTTTACATTTTGTCCATCTGCTATTTTGATGGAAAGAGATATAATACTCAAAATTAGTGGACATCCTAACTAGAGGAAGAACCAAGATGATCACATAAAGCAATGCTCCCAAACATCTATTGTAGCCCACCTATAAGGTAATAATAAATCTATAGCTTACTGACGTGGACCGTATAAGCTTCTTTTTACTTTGTGGCAACCAGCTTAGGCATCTGGCCACCCAATCTCCATTCAGCTATGAGGGAGGCTGGTATCATAACTCTGCACTCCTCTAACCTATTTGTAAGCACATTGTGTTCCTCAGCACACAGGTTAGGAAACCCTGATAAATAAAATTAATGTCTTATTGTCTTCATTTTTTATAATTTTAACAGTATAATATCTTAGCATACTTGTTAAAACTAAAATTTTTATACCTATATACATTTATACACACTAGAAGCATAGTGTAGCAAAAATTGTATTTTCCCCCATTCTCTACTATGAATATTTTCTTAAAAATACCAATTTATTTTATAACATTTTGAAAGAAAAACAAGACATACAAAATTAACAATAATCCTAATACCAAAAGACAAAAATTACTTGTAACTTCAGTTTCTGACATGCATATCTGGTACAGAGTGTGTGCTCAATAATATTTATTTACTTGAATGAGTTCAAAATTTTTGTAGAATTTTAAACAACATTTTACTTTGTATATTTAATTACATATAATTGCTGTCTTTGTACATGTAAGTACAGTTTTATGTCCAGCTGTATTTTCTTTTTCACCCAACATTCTAATGTGATTATATCAAGATACATTTGTATGCACGTGACAGAACAGGAAATCAAACTGGTTGAGGGGGGAAAAAGTTAGTTGTTAGAAAGATAAAAGCTTATATCAAACAACTGAAGGAAATTTTAACCTTCGGTCTCTGAAAAGATGAATGCTCTTACTTAGTTTCAAGAACTACCAGACACTCAAACCATCGCTGGAATCTCTCTGACATGTTTTTGATTCCTCTTTGTATATCTAGCTCAGGCTGAACATCCTATCTTATAGCTTTTATCGGCAAAAAGAACTATTTATGATTTCTCTGATCCCACATTTAAAAAAATAAGTCAGAACAGAATTATGATAGATCATTTCCCAGAACAAAGTAGACATAATTCTATAAGAAAAGGATAGTATTTGAAAGGAACAGCAATATATGTGTTATCGAGTGTAACTTTAATTGCCAATTTAAGCTTTTTATGGTTTTTTTTTTTTTTTTTTTTTTTTACATAATGGGCATTGTAGTGGATGCCCCAGAATTTGCTTACCTATTCTGTTTCCAAGTAGTACATTGTTCTTATATTCAATGTTGTAATAGAGTTTTTTTGGTTGTTTGTCATTATCTTGTACAATTCCCTTAGAACATATTTTCAAAATTAATTTCTGGGAAATACACAGAGAATATACAATAAATAATGTATTTGAGTTTATGTACATCTTAGCCTTGATTATTATATTTTAAATTTTCACTTGAGTGTTGATATTGACTTTCTCTCCCTCTTTCCCTATCTCTCTTTTTTTATGTTTTTTAGGAGAATGTTTTATCCAGTGTTTCATATCATTGGCACAACGAACATCAGTAAAGATGGAAATTGGTTTACTATGAATTGTAAAGAAATACTTTTATATACTGAAACTCGTATTTATATTTAGCTTTGTGATACCAGATGGAAGTCTTGCTCAATGACATATATTTAAAACAAATGAAATAAGTTATATTACATTGACCATATGAAATTTATTATTGTTATAACTTAAATGTGGTTAACATCAGCAATTCTATGTGGCTAAACCTAGTATATCAGTTAGGAACTTTTTTAAACCTGAAAATAGAAGAATAACTGGACAATAGTAACATAAAACAAATATAAGCAAATTTTTTTCTTACATAACAAGAAGTCTGGAAGTGGTTGCAGATGTTGGTTTTAGCAGAACAATGTTTGCAGAGATACAAGTTCCTTCTATTCCTTTTACTCACTGTCTTATGTATTTCATTTGTATGCTTGTTCACCTCACATTCACCAAATTGCTGTTATGACTGTAGACAACATATTTGTATAATGGGAGAAGATAGGGTCAGAAGAAGACCATGGTACCAGCTCTGTCTATTCCTTTCTACCAGGAAAGAAAATATCTTTTTCTCAAAATTCCCAGTATACCACTGTTGACAACTCATTGAATAAAACAGTGTTGTGGTCACATTTGTCTGCAAAGAAAGCAGGTATAATAAGTATTTAGCTGGGCACATTGTAGTCCTGAGCTTTAGTAATTCTCTTGGTAAAGTATATAAAAGAGAAATAGGGATTGGGACTGTAATTCACAGGGTCTTCCACAGGGTATTTTCTTACTAAATTCAGTACTATGTAAAGCCAGAACAACTTCAGAATCTCTACATTACAAGAAGTATTAAAAAGGACTTTAAACATCATAAGCATGATCTTTGGTCTTAATAAGCATATTAATAAAATAAGTATAAGCATAAGTTTAAATATTAATAAGCATAGGCTTTATTATCTTAAACATTGTGTATGACAGAAGAGAAGTTTATGCAATTGTTTCCAGAGTTGGTACACTTAATGGTACCAACTTTTTTTTCCTTATTGAAACTCTGTTATGACTACTTTAAAGACAATCCTGCATAGCGGGCATCTAGAATCCGCTAATAGCTGGGTGACCACTGTAGTTCATACCTGACCAAACATCCCTGAAGAAATTATGGAGCTGACTCGCCAAAAGTCAATTTGCATTAGGAACTTTGAAGCCTCCGGAGAAATGCATACTATCCTCAGGGTAGAAATATTCAGATATGAGAAGCTTGGCCTTAAAACAAAGCCTTTGTATTGGGATGGAGTGGTGAATCAGATTCTAGCACTGTTCTGAAACATGGATTTGTTCCTCCATCCAACGTGACTCCTTTCCACAATTAGAGTCATTCATGTCGGATCTTGGGGTAGAGAGGGCAGGGCATGATTTATACATGAGAAATGATTTGTAAACAGTTTGCAGTCATACTCACTAAATTCAGTTATTGGAACCCAAGTAGCTTCGTTAGTAGAATGTAGCATAAAAATGAGGGACAAACATTCTTCTCCACTCAGCAGCACAGTATTTATGAAGAAACATATTGCTTCTAATGTAGCAGGCAGTGGCAGTGCCTGGTGTACATATAGATCCACAAGGTAAGCTGCTGTTCCTGGCGTGAGTAGATACGCATCAGTCTAGGCAAGAATGCCAAGTGTAAGAGGAAGGCTCAGAAACCACAGCTGTACCCAACACAAGTGACACTGGTCAAAAGCAGAGCCCAGCATGAGAAACTGTGAGAATCAGCAGAGATGGGACTTCTAAGTGGTCATGGTGCCCTCCAGGAGATTGAGCTACAGTTAAAAAGTAAGAAGTAGAGAATGCAGTGTGATAGCTGATTAGTAAACTTATCATATTTGTTTGTGTGTGGGTAGTATGCTCTCGAGAAATTCTTATGAGCACTTTTTCAGTAGTTATGACTTATCTTTAGCACCTGTGGGCAAGAGTCATTGGAATATACATTACATCTACAAATGAATATTTATCTCTGAGATGAGCTGTTCGCAGTTTAATAAAAGTAGGACAGAATAACAGCAAATATTTGGCTTTGCGTATATGTCTGTGGATCTATTGCAAGGTCTTAAACATTTCCCATTCTTGGTCCTGGAGCCCTTTTTGCTCTCAGATGGATTCTCAAACAAGAAATGAAAAAGGTAAGGGAGCTAAAAGCAATTTAGAGTATTTAAAAAAATACCCATTATCATTCTAGAACAGGAGACAGCAAACTTTGTTTGTAAAGGTCAATGTAGGAAATACTTTGGCTTTGTGGGCCATATGGTGTCTGCTGCAACTACTCAACTTTGCCATTATAGCACAAAAACAGCCATAGTCAATACCTAAACAAAAGCATGTGGCTGTGTTCCAATAAAACCTAATGAATATTGAAATTTATATATCATGTAATTCTCACATGCCACAAATATTCTTATTTTGATTTCTTTCAACCATTTTAAAATATGAAAACCATTATGGCCGGGCGCGGTGGCTCACGCCTGTAATCCCAGCACTTTGGGAGGCAGAGGCGGGCGGATCACGAGGTCAGGAGATCGAGACCATCCTGGCTAACACGGTGAAACCCCGTCTCTACTAAAAATACAAAAAATTAGCCGGGCGTGGTGGCGGGCGCCTGTAGTCCCAGCTACTCGGGAGGCTGAGGCAGGAGAATGGCGTGAACCCGGGAGGCGGAGCTTGCAGTGAGCCGAGATCGCGCCACTGCACTCCAGCCTGGGCGACAGAGCGAGACTCCGTCTCAAAAAAAAAAATAAATAAATAAATAAATAAATAAAATAAAATAAAATATGAAAACCATTCTGAAGCTCTTTAGTTATACAGAAACAAATGGCAGGACATAGGCTCTAGCCTGTAGGCTCTAGTTTGCTGACCCTTGTTCTAGGAGCATAAATTAACTCATTTGATGTCTGTAAGAACATAACAGAGTGGAATAGTTACAATTCCTATTATGCATATAACGTATATATTATATATATACTGTTTATATATATTATATATGTATATATGTATGTATTATATATTATACATACATATATACATATATAATATTATACTGTTTATTCATATATAATATACATATTACATGTATTATTATATGTACATTATTTATACATATTATATGTATTACTATTATATATTATATGTATTATTATATGTATTACATATATTTAATATGTATATGTATTATATATTGTATGTATTAAAACTATATATATGTATTATATGTATATACAATATACATATTATATATGCATATATAATATATAAATAAGCTATATAAAAATATATATTTATATATAATATATAAATATATAAAAATATAAATAAATAAAATATAAATAAAAATATATATAAATAAATAATTATATATATATAAACTATATATATAAGTTAAAAAATTATATATATATAATATATATATATAAATAAACTGAGGCCAAGAAAGATTTGCTGTCTGACTTAAGGACACACAGTAAGTGGTAAAACCAGTATTCATACCAAGGTAAGTCTGATAAATTTAATATTCTTTTGATATATGGAAATTTCTATTAAGTGGCAGCGGTTTTCTAGAGGGCTGTGCTGAGATGGACAGCAAGGTCTTGCTATGGCTCAGCAGCAAGAAGCATAGCGATGAATTTGCAATATCTTCTGTGAGTAGGAGAGGTAAGGGTGGCAGCAGCTGCTGTAAATAATTATTTCTCCATCTCTAACAGGTGAAAACAGAACTAATGATGTTTTCTGATTTTGAGAATTCCAGAATGATTAGGGTTTCATCTGCACTACTAACAACTTCAGCTCCAAAGAGGACTTTCACAAATGAGCTGGTTTGTGTTGAGATTTCCAAGTGCCTGCATTTTGATCATTTTATCACACAATAGTGGCTCATGCTGTCCCCACTATGACTTCTGTGTCCCCACACCTCTTCTCTGGCTGCCGCTGCCATTTTGGTCTGCTTACAGGTGTGAGATTTGATAATATTCTACTGCTTCTGATACTATATTTCTATCTTGTACATAGTTTAGTCCCAGGCTAACTTTTTTTTATTATTATTATACTTTAAGTTTTAGGGTACATGTGCACATTGTGCAGGTTAGATACATATGTATACATGTGCCATGCTGGTGCACTGCACCCACTAACTCGTCATCTAGCATTAGGTATATCTCCCAATGCTATCCCTCCCCCCTCCCCCCACCCCACCACAAGGGGAATATCACACTCCAGGCTAACTTCTAAAGGCTGGCTGGAGACAATCTTCCAGGATGCTGCAGACTATTTACCTAGAAAGTCCTCACTCTTTAATGGTTCCATTCAATGCTGATGTCAAGAAATTCTGTGTCACATCAAGACTGTCAAGACTGAAAGTAAGGGGCAGTGTGGAGGAAAGTGTTGAAGGAAGGGCTTCTCAACTTTCTTTTTTGTCAAACTCATCCCTATTCTTCTTTTTCTAGGCTTATGTAATTTTTGAATTGGCTTTTTTGTTGTTGCTCAATATAATTGTTAATCTTTGGTTTATAACAACTGGTAGGAGTCCTCATGTGTGCTGGGCTTTAGCTTTTAAAACTCATGTGATCATATAGGGCCCACTGAATAATCCAGAATAATCTTACTACCTTGTGGTCAACAGAACTTTCATCTTAACAACATCTGCAAAGTTCCATTTGCCATGTCACTTAACATGTTAATAGGTATAACACAGGGGTCAAAGGCCATTGGGAACAAAGTTCTCCCACCACACAAGTGTTTATACAATATGACAATAACACAGATTAATATGTAGCATAGTAAATTCTCAACATATGTGCAGAATAATCTTGCCTTGAACATGTACATCTGGTCAGTTGGAGAAGTAGAAAAGCCTCTTTAGACCTTGCTTAGACAGTGTCTGACTTTAAGTTACATGATTTAATCTCTCAGTGCCTCTGTATTTTTATCTTGAAGCAAGAATGATACATTTTATCATACCTAACTCACTGGACTGATGTAAACATTACAGGAAGTAAATGAATAGTAAACTTACTATCTCAAGAATTTAGTATCCGTCTTTTATTTTTCATCACTGAGAACAGATCTTAATTAGAATCACAAATCTTCATTATAAAGAGGAAAGGAAAAAGTAAATGTCTAGAATAGTATATATTTAAAATTATTTAACTCTAATGAACTTTCAAAATCTTATGGAAAAACCCATATGGTGTGTGTAAGTGCAAATACATGGAAAAATTCGGATGAGGAATCTATTTCTTTTCATGTTTTATTGTGCCAAGAGATAATGTAGTGCCTCGTTCTGAAATCTCATCTATCATACTGTGTTCTGTAAAGTGACAGAACATGATATGACATATTGATGAGCCCCAATGTGACACAAAGCATGGTTTGTGGTCTGCGTGTAGGTAAAGATAATTAGAAAAACCCTGGAAAAGAGCAGTTTTGGAAGGATTTAATGAAGAATTATTACGATAGATAAATAAGAGGTAAGACTGAGCATACCTTTTTAAATAAAATAAAACATACAGGATATCAGATGCTATCATCCTGACCCCCAAATTTTATAATTATGTTTGGCATTTAACCTTTACATATGATTAAGATAGCAAACCTTATACCCACAGCATTCCCTTGTAAGAGGAGAATATGGTGATAGGAGGTAATTGAATTTTGTTCTGACCTGGTTTGGCCTCTGTGCGGAAGCAATTTGTGAATTATTTAGGAAAAAAGGAAAAGTATATTGCCTCAAGAGAGAATGCTGGGTGCAAAGAAGAATTTAGTTCAGTTGTGCTGTCTCTTAGAATACATCTGCTTTCCTAGCTTGAAATGAAAAACGAAATGGAAATTTCCATTCATCCTTATGCATTAACAAGATCCCTTCTTTTCACTGCCATGCTTCATATGTCCCAAACTAGACCAATGGTGGATCTAAAACTTTACAAATCATGCTGGAAGCTTTGTTATTAGGATGGCAATCTATGATTGAACCAATAAAGGGAAGTAACTCCACTGTAAATAAATTTGGCATGAATATTTGGGCTTCACAAACCAAGACTAAGGTACATTAAGAACAACATTAAGTGCAGTTGTTAATCTTAGCAGTTCTATTGAGTTATATCTCCTTATATTTATACAATTTTAAAAAGGAACTATGGATTATTGGCATTAGAATAGTGATGAAATGAGAAAAATAATTGCTTTTTTCATTCTTGCCCCTTTCTTTGTTTTTTAAAGTCCTATTTTATGTTGCGATTACATAACTTACTGTCTGTGAAAATTTTAAAAATGCCAATATTATCATTGTGCTTTAATACAAGTCACAAATATATTTAAAGAACACCATTCTCCAAAGATTATAAATATTTTACTTTTTATTGCCATCAATGGTATTGGCATGTATGTGAAAGCCAAAGGATCGGAATGAAAATGATTTAATAAAGAAATTCAAAACTAATGTAAAAAATGAAATTGCAACTGGGCTGTCACGGCCTTAGAGAGTTGAGGGGTCGGTATGAAACATTTTGTTTTATTTCTAAAGCTTTGATTGGCCTGCCAACATGCATTTGTGCTGTCACTCTGAGGGCCCTTCTAGTAGCACTGAAGTGGCAGGCAGCTCTTGATTGATGAGTGTTTGCATCCATTTTATTATTTGTTTTATATTTCTTCCCTGACATGTTTAACTGAAAAAAAATCACACAAGAACCTTTGCAATTATGTGAGTCAACCCACATCAGAATTCCATTTCGGTGTATTTAGGAAACTGCAGCAAAAACAAACATACATACAAACACCACAGGTTACTTGGAGATAAGAAGATGATGTCAGTTCTGTAACATTATTAATATATTCCTGTTCAAGTAAGAGGCAACAAAAAAATCACATGCCAACAATTTTTTAAAAAGTTATAAGTTAGGCTAAAACTTTCTGAAATGGTTTCAAACATAAAACGATGTCTTTGGTAGTGAGCCATTTTACTATTTCCCCACCGCAATTTTCACATGCAAAGGGGAAAAGACCCCAAGATTGAGACTTTAAATTTCAGCATTTGATTGCATAAATATTGGTAAGCAGTGTTTAAAGGCTAAAGTGGCCCTGTAATCAAAGACTCAGCATTCTCATTTCATGAAGTAATACAGGCTTGTACAGTGTTAATGTCATAAGTCTGAGATTGGCTCAATATACAGATTTGAGCATACATATTGGCATTAACTTGGTCCTTTAATTTGTGCCACCTGGCTGAATAAAAGGCATGAAAAATATATTCACCCTTTGATTTTTTTCTATCCCACAACAATGGAGCCAGTTTTTTTTTTTTTTTTTTTTTTTAATCTGTTAGGGCTCTGTGTTTCACTTAAAAGGAAAGCAACTCAGACTGACTTAAACGATACATGACAAAAAAAGTGGGTTTTGTTTTTCTGCATTTGGCTGATTGCTTTCGGCTTTTATAACTGGAAGATCCAGGGATAGGGTGGAAATCAAGATTGACTTGCCTTAACTGCTCACGGAGTCATCACTCTGCAGGCCTTGTGCAGGGTCAGCTTATCGTCAGACTGACTTCTCTCGTAGTGGTAAAATGACAGTATAGATTTAGACTTTACATTCAACCACCCCACTGTCAAGAATTACTCACAAGATGTCTTCTTTCTCAGAATCCATTAAAAAATGTAAATGTCCTATTTGGGTCAGATATTCTTTCTTGAACCAATATAAAAGGGAGGTTGACAATGACCAAATTCCAAATACAAATCAAAATCAATTTAAGAAAATTTTAAGACCCGTGAGTTAAGAATTAGTACTTGAGGCCGGGCGTGGTGGCTCATGCCTGTAATCCCAGCACTTTGGGAGGCCGAGGCGGGTGGATCTCAAGGGGAGATTGAGACCATCCTGGCTAACACGGTGAAACCCCGTCTCTACTAAAAACATAAAAAATTAGCCGGGCGTGGTGGCGGGCGCCTGTAGTACCAGCTACTCGGGTGGCTGAGGCAGGAGAAAACCCGGGAGGCGGAGCTTGCAGTGAGCCGAGATCGCGCCACTGCACTCCAGCCTGGGCGACAGAGCGAGACTCCGTCTCAAAAAAACAAAAAACAAAAAACAACAAAAAAAAGAATTAGTACTTGATTATGTTGGTGAAGAAATCTTTGTGTGAGCTGAATTAATCTTAAAAGGCTTCTAGGAGCAAATTTTGTTTTTAAGATATATTTAAATTATGGGCAAAAAGAGTGTGATGAACTGGAAGGGGCAAATTGGAGTAATGCCCCCTACGTCAATTTTTGTACTTACATTTGAGATATATTTAAAAATAGATACCCCACTGAGCACTTATTTAAAGCCCTATGCTAAGCTCTTTATATATATTATTCATATCACACAAAGACCTTTTCTAGAATTAGATACTATTATCCCTATTTAGCAGATGAGAAAACTGGGTTTCAGAGAGGTTAAGTGACTTTTCCAAGATCATTGTTAGAAAGTGATGAAAAGTAATTTGAATTTATAACTTCTAATTTGATAGTTCATGATCATAACCATTACATTATTATTATGCTCACATTTTTTGGTTTATAGGTCAATCTCTTATTTTGTGATCTTTAATATGTTTATTATTTATAGGTCAATCTCTTCATTTTTGTGAAATCCCTAAAGGCAGAAAAAGCAGGGAATCTTTACTGCTCAATTCACTAACCTCTCTGTAGTATCTAAAATAGTGTCTGACTTATAGTAAATGCTTAATTAATATTTAAAAATTGTTGAATAAAGGATTATATCTTTTGGGCTAGAAAATGACATTATTGATTACCTTAGGCCAATTCTGGAACTGGTTGCTACACAAAAGGGGAGAGATAAAATTTATCATAAAAAAAATATATATAACAACAATGTCCGCTACAATTCTTGGAAGAAAATTCCAAATTTGGAGTCTGGCACCACATTTTATTAACTACCTAACTAAAGTGTGGTTTTCTGTACCTCTGTTTTCTTTTATAAAATTATGGAAATGTATAGTGCACATCTCACTCTCTTATTGTGAATACTGTGAAGATTAAAAAAGGTAATATATGTCAGTTATCATGCAATATGCCCAGCATAAGAACTCACTGAATATTAAATACTATAATTCTTATTGTTACTAACTGTCTTTTCCACTTCATTATCATTCTTATTAGCATCATCTCCATGAGATCAAAGTGTTCCAATTATATCCTGAGGAGGCTGTTGTTTGATCTATTTTTCAACTGTAAGATGGTCCTTAATAACATCAATAATATGTATTAATTGGTAAGTATGGCCAAGAAGACTATTTGGGCTGATTTGTCCTAAATCAGTTACTTTCCAGGGACTTCCCTCATCAAAAGTCATGTAAAATTCAATCTAATGAGAGGTTTGCCAAAGAATTTACAGGATGCCTTTGGTATTCAAACAGAATATTCTTGAATCTGATATAGCAAACCCAGGGAACTGAAACAAATTACTTAATTTTTCAGTTTCTGGAAATTTAGAACTTAGGAATTCTCTGAAATACATTTTGATTTTGAAGATTTAATAAAATTGTATTCCTTTGTAAGACTGAGCTTACATTCATCTCTATCTTAGAAATTGTTCTTAAACACTTTTCAACCACCAAAATGTTAATACTTGTACCTTACATTTGTGACCACTTATATAGAATCTGATAGTATTAGTTGTTTCATGTGAATGAGTCTTATTTTTCTAAAAATTTTTTCTAAAAGTTTTTAACCGTTATATATTCCTATAGTGACAGCATCTTCCACACTTAAAAACTTATAATACGGTTAATTAATGTTCATACACTTACAGAGTACTTGGGAATGCTTTTTAAATATCTACCTCTGACATAGTTAGGGCAAGTAATTTTATTTAACAAGGGAGAAAATTTAAATTTCAGAGCATTAAGTCATTTATTCAAAGTCATTTATCTAGTAAGTGACAGACCCCAAATTTCAACTCAAGTAGGTCTTTATATGTCAAATCTGGTCCTTGGGAGTATTTTTGTTCTAACAAACATTGCTTCTTCAAGTGCATATTCTTTCACTAGACTGGGAATATATGAAAGCCAGTACTTTCGTGACTTCTTTGTACACTCAGGTGGTTCAATGTTTTTCTCGCAAGAAACCAAGTGAATATTAAAAATATTCCTAATTGACAAGGAAGTACAGGAGCTGACTTGCTAGGATCACAGAACCAACAACAAGAGTGCGTCTGCATGTCAAGACTCTGACCTACTGTGTGGGACTCTTTTCATTACTCCATCCTCATCCTCCACCAGCCATAGCCACCGAAGAACACTCACTTATTTAAGCAAACTCTGTTTTTAGAATTGAAGATGATAATTATTTATTGCTTTTTTCAGAGTTTTTATTTTTTAACATTTATTACAACAAATTAGAATATAAGATGATGTGTCACGCCACCTTCCCCCAGAACTGATTCTGCTTATTTGACGGTTTGGATAGAGGGCGGCTTTCCCTATTGCATGCTTTCTCATACTGCATCTTTAGACAAAGGTGACCATCCCATAGAGATAGCGATGCAGATCTTGCTAGAGCTTCTAAACAACTAAATAACCAACTGATGATCAAACATTCATCCATCCCTTTATAAGTTCATTTATTTAATAAATATTCACCTTATTGAATTAGTGGGAAGATAATGATGAATAAGCTATAGTATAGTGGATGCAGTAGAGAAGGAACTTTATAAATCCACAGAAATATATACTTGATCTTTGGGGTGAACTATTGGGTATCATAAAAGCACTTAGTGTGCACCAGTCTGTGTTCTAAATAGTTCACATTTAGGAACTCAATTAATATTCATTTATATCTGAGAGAGAACTATTATTTACCCCAACCTACAGATAATATAATGGACACCCAAATGAATTAAGTAACTTTCTCAAGGTGGATATAGAGTAACTAAATTAAGGCTTGAAATTCCGCTGTCTGACTAAATTCCTCCATGCAGCCAAAGTACCTTGTGTGTGCTATTTTGTCATTCTCAAGATTCTACAATATACATGGTCATTTGTGTGCATGTTTCATTTTTTTTTTTTTTGCTAGATTCTTTACCCTCAGAGAGATAAATCATATTTCATGTATTTGGGCCTTACCCATGGTATCTAGCATCATGTTTTGGAAATAGTTGCTTTACAAACAAATTAAAATCATTGTTCTTTATAAACTCGTAACTAAATAAAAAGTAGCAATAATATTAAACATAAGGAATGAGACAAGCACAATGAGCAAAGATAGCAAAATGTAGGCTCTTGTAGTAATGAAGGAAGATCTCAACACTCAAAGAATAATCCTGCTCTATTGTTAAATCAAATAGGATGTCTAATTAGCTAAGCAAGGATTTTTCTTTCTTTTTTCCTCCCCCAGAAACCCATTCAATTTTTAAAATATTCAAAATTCCTAAATGAAACAATTTTAATCATCTATCTGTAAGTTGGTAGCACTATAGGAAATTGACAGCCTGGCATCAGAGTTAAACACCTTTTTAATTCTTTTTGCTTCTAATTTGTATCATTAGTGCATCTTAGTCTGTCAAAGTAATCAAAGCCATCAGTGTGGGAGAAAAGGTGACTTGTGCGTACGAGTATCATGTATTTATTAATATGATTATTTTAGTCAATTAGTTGAAAAGAACTTATTTGTAATGACTACAGTCACTGACCATGTTTATATTAGCATACTTCCACTATGGTGAAGGTCCTGTCTACGAGTAAGAAAGCTATAGCTAGCATCAAGAAATGTTAAAACAGCTCTGTATTCATGCAGTATGAGGACACACATGTGTGTCCTCTGTGTAAGGAAAAGCAGGGTAGTAAAGTCAAATCAAAATATTTGGGATTATATTTCTTCTTTGGCTATTCTCCAATTAGAATAATATGAGACTTTGTGGGCACATTACCTAGAATGAAATATGAAGTTTCACCCTGAGCATACACACGTGGCACACCTTAACTGTTCACATGAAATGTTTGTCTCCTCTTCAATCTACTACTTTCCAAGGGCTACCATGTGGGGCTAGGGAGAAAGCATACTCTATAGCACAAAGTGAAGATACAAATATCGATCTGCCTTACCTTCCTCTGCTTCTCGTGGTATGTGTACAATTTTATGCCACCACTGTAAATCTTCTGATACTCCTCACTATGTTTGGTCATTCGAATATTTTTTTGGAGATGGAATTTCGCCCTATTGCCCGTGCTGGAGTGCAGTGGTACGATCTCGGCTCACCACAACCTCCGCCTCCCGAGTTCCAGCAATTCTACCTCAGCCTCCCAAGTAGCTGGGATTACAGGCATGTGCCACCAAGCCTGGCCAAGTTTTTGTATTTTTAGTAGAGACGGGGTTTCTCCATGTTGATCAGGCTGGTCTCTAACTCCCGACCTCAGGTGATCCACCTGCCTCGGACTCCAAGAGTGTTGGGATTACAGGTGTGAGCCACCTCGCCCAGCGGTCATTAGCAGTTTAAAGAAACTAACATTTACTTGTTGAGTTTCTAGCATGGACTCTTTTTCCCTTTTTCTCTTGACCACTCTCTGGCTCCCAGAAGAAGAAAAATATACATATGCAAGTATATATGTATGAAATTATATATATATATATATAAAATGTGAAAATATATAGTCATATTCATGGAAGAGAAACATACACTTACACATTTAGAATTCCCTTAGAGGAAGAGCACAATTTAATAGAATGCAGTGTTTTATTTTTAGTTTTGAGAAAGTATTCATTAAGGGTAAAACAGGAAAGACGATCAAAGCACATGAAAGAGAAACTGTATTCTTTGTACTTTCCTTGTTGTCTTGACTGAAATTTAGTCCTCTTCACCTCTTGCCCTACTGGATTCGCTAACCTCCAATTTTCTTCTCCCTATTGTGCTAAACTCAAAAATGTGCCTAGAAACCAAAGAATAAGGTTGCTTGTGACTTGTGTATGTTTGGAATAGGGAATTACCATATTTAAGTTTCTCAGAGATTTTAGAATTATCTCCCCCACCCCAAAGACAGGGAATTTTTTTTTCTTGTTTCTCCCCCTACCCACTCCACCCTTCGCTGTCAATTTAGAAGCTGCCTGAAACAGGCACTGTAAAAACACTGGGTGGCAGTCCCTCTCTCTTCCAGCCACCGATACCAGAATGGACTGTTATCAGGAGCACTCCAGCTATGAAGCACACATTCTTTCCCTGCATTTGCTGGCTGCGCTGAAACTGTAAATTCCACAGGAGATCAGGCAGTTCAGTGGAGACAGGGCAGTGCAGAACAGCAGAAATAACAAGTTTTCCTAAAAGCACGTGTCACCAAACAAAACCATGAGATTTCGTAGGTCAGCTAAAGCACGAAAACTGGAAGTGAAAAATGCCCTGTTCAGTGATCCAGTCAATGGGATTAAATCATAAAACTCCCAACAGTTGTTTTCAGCAGTCTCACCCGTGATTTTATGAGTACAAAGGCCTATGTCGGGATCCCATATTTTTTCCCTTCTTCCACGTCTAGTTCTGCGCACTGTTATCATTTACGTAAGTTTCCTGTAATCAAAGCATCTGTAAGCTTTAGCATGTAGAGTGTCTTGCCATATTCTGTTTCTTTTCTTTTTCTCTCCAAGCATCCCAGCCCTCCCGGCATCCCCCCATTCAAGGCATGAGTCTGTGTTATGGAGCTCCAAAATACACACAGTACAGCTTGCCCACTGAGAATCAGCAGTGTCCCAGAACATGGCTCATGAGTCAGCTCCTTTCAAAACTCCTGAGCACTGCTGGATAGAAAATAAAGATTTTTTTATTCAATTAATTTTAATGATTAAAAATATGACAATGCAGACATTTAGAAAGTATTTAAACGGGCAGTTTGTGGCATTATAAATATTGTAAGCAAAACAAACAAACAAACAAACAGACAAACCCAACAATTCCCATATGGTACCTTTGATAGAAGATATTTAATTAAAATAGCTAAGGCCGTTTACAGATCCTGAGTTTTCATAACAAAGAAGAGGGAGTTTGAGCTGAGGGTCATAAATGATTGTATCTAAATGATAGTTATCTATATCTATGTTTTGTTTATTTTTAACCGTTGATGCTATGACACCAATAGTCTAAGACTACAAATAAATACATAAATAAATAAATTCAAAAAGCAAAGGCCAGTTTTCTTAGCCAAGGGAATTCACCACAGACAGATTCATGTTTCTTAAAATTATTTTTTCTTTATAATCAGTAGCCCATAAAAATTAACAGAAACAAGATTTCCTCAGTGTTGTTACTGCAAAATTAAATAAAACAACTAAATTAATGATTTAAGATCTAGGCTCCAAAATAATGGATAACAATCAGAAAGAACCTACGAGAATTAATTTTCAAAATAGCAAGATTTAAGCAAGGATTCTTTTTACTAACAAATGTCTTCTTTGTGCTAGATTTTGTTGAGGTTTCTTGGAGTTTCAGCAGTGAACAAAATAAATGAAGCTTTGCTCATGGGGACACACCCCACACATAAAACACCTGTCTCTAATTCCAGATTAGATGATGAGATGACCGTTTTGTATACATCATTTATATCCTCAATTAGCTAGTAAGTTATCCTATTCATTGAAGGTGCTCAAAATTTTGCTTTAAAAATGAATTAATTACTGATGTCTTTGACAAAGAGAGTCAGTATACCTGAGTGTAAAGTGATCAGCCAAAAATATTTTTAAATGCATACTTAATTATAAATAAAATACATTAAAATCTATATTGGGACATTAATTATATAACATTTAGATAGGACATCTCTACAGGCATTAATTACTTTGCTTATTTTTCTGCCTACAATTTAAATAAGATTTGTAATAATATACACAGAAACACTAATATTGTACTTTTACCAGAAATTTAATATTGAATTTTTTATATATAAAATGGAAAATCTTGCCCATGTGACTCATACATCGTGCCTGTGACTTTAATGCCTTTAACAAGACAGCCTAATGGCCCATTATTGTTTTTAACAGGCCACCTTAAAATAACCTTTCAGCAAATTTTCTGACATATTTTATCTTAGCCTCCATTTATTTCATTTATATTGACCCTAGTCTCTTTAAAATTGCTGGTTTTTGAGAAACATTGGAGTAAGCACAGCATTTCTGCAAAGACTTTCGGATTCTTCCAGTAATGTCACATTGATGCTGCTTAGTTTTATGGCTAGCAATCTACTCTTCTTTTGGAATCTGTCAGGATCAGAAAAATGCACATTAATCATTTACTATAGGAGCATGTACTGCTCCAAATGTCCCCCATTTCAAGATGGCAATTGGGCACTTGTCAGGAATTACCCACAGCCACACAAGTGGGGAATTGGCTGTGTAGTGTTAACCGTGGACAGCACCTTCTCCTGTAGATAATGTTCTTAGAGACCTAAGGATGGACCTCCATAAGTTGTCATAGGAATACAGGGCTGCCATATAAATGTTCTTTGCCATTGACATACTATAGGGACTGTTTAACTTTCAGATTGAGTTTCAGCCATGGGACAGCTCCAAAGGAGCAATATAGCTTTCAAAGAGTCTTTGGGGGTGGGAGCAACACCATCTCTAAAAGACTTTTTCAGATTAGAGTTAGGTCTAGTAGTTGAGAAATCCAGGAAGATTATGATTCCAAACTAGACAAGTGGTGGTGTGGGAATTTGGGGAGACATTTAGTTGGTTTCTCCCTCAAAGATGTAAAAACACCTTTTTGACTGTTTGACATTATGTGAAGATATGTGGTCCCAGGAAGTCATTAAACAGAAGCCTTCTGGAATAATTTTTACTAACTGAGTATCTTTACATTGCTATTACCTTACAGGCTGCAATATCTTCTCTAAGATTCTGGCCTACATTCAGAACCATTTAATTCATCTCCCTTCTTTTGCAGGCAACTCTTCCTCGTTGCTCTAGGAAATGCAAAACCCAGTGTCAGCTATTTAGAAGGCAAATATTATTTTCCTGTAATATATGAAAACTGACTCATTCTTTCTTAGCAAACAAGACAGCCAAACTACCCAGGAAAAATATGCATGATGTTTCTGACTTAATCCTAGATCATTTTGTTGCTGAAAATATATGATTTTTTATTCTTTAAGTTTTGACCCCTGTTATCCCTTAGATGACTAGGTTATTTATAGCGTAACTGCTATCCACACATCTAGATATGCTTCAGATTGAAGGAGAGAGAAAAAAGAGACTTAACACATCTATTTATTTCATTCTATCTAGTCACATTTCATCCATATCAATTTCATTCTCTTCAGCAGCAAGAGTTTAAAACTGGAATGTAAAGGCTTAATATGTAGTAAAAGATAAATTACAATATGAGGTAGTAATAAGTATCAAATTAAAATATTAAATAAAATCATGAAGGGTTTTGTCATTTGAATTCAGTATTTTAAAATATGCACATGGGTAAAATCTGAAAGGTAAGATAAAAAATAGTCATTAAAAATAGTGGAAAGTGGAGTCTTTAAAAATTCTTTTAAATAATTATTTCATCACATTTTCAATTAAAAGGATCAAAAGAGTAGTTTAAATGTTATATCCAATGTGTATGTGCAATGCCAACATACAGCAGGTGCTCATAAATTTTGTTGAATAAGTGAATATGTGAATGGCTGAATAAATAAATAGATAAATGGAGGAAATGGAGATAGCTCAGGAAAAGTTGCTGTCGGCTGGATTGCATGCAGAAACAAATCTAGAACTTGAATGCAATAAACCTGAAGAAAAGATACAAAAGGGAGGGTGTTATATGAATATTTAGCACGTGGAGATAAGGATAAAGATGACATCTTCAGCAACTTAGGTTAGGAAAATAGGAAAGCGTTTGTTAAGTATGTAAATGATGTTCTGAAAGTGATATTCAGGGAAAATTAACTTGGCATAGTAAGAATCTAAACTGGTAGAAACTTTCTATAAAATAATTTGATAAAACATATTAAAACCTCTTTACCTGGCAATCCAAATTTAGAAATGTTTCCTAAGGAGGTAATTGAACATATATACAAGTATATGATTAAAGATATTCAATTGAATATTTTTAAGGAAAAAAAAAGAAAATGGAAGAAACCAAATAGATATAAAGAAACTAAAGGTTGAATAAAATATGATTCATCCATAAAATGTGTGATTAATTTATTGAGGTGGAAATAGTGCTCATAGTTTTTCATATAGTTGGTGGAGAAAGAACTACTTATAGGGAGGATTTATTAAATTATTTATATTAAAATATATAGATTTCTGTTTTTTCACCTTTTTTCACAATAGTGCAATATGACATTTTTATGGCATTCAATGATTTCCTTACTTTGATGTGAAACTACATTTCTAAGCACCTATCTATCATTAGTCTATCTATCTATCTATCTATCTATCTATCTATCTATCTATCTATCTATCATCTGCCTATCTACAGGCTCCAGTTAGGAAGCATCCATTTCTCCCTAAATACAAATTTCTCTTTATTATTCCAGCAGTGCTGCTCAGTTTCCTCCAGTATGATTAGCTATCTTAAGTATTCACCCTGTATTTATTTGAAAAGGTTCTGTTGAAGGCATCCTTGACCTTTTAGGCCAGACATATATTTCTTCTCAAACTTCTAAGGCATTTGACCATAAGAGAATCCTGATCATCAGTAAGACATGAATTTGAATCTCAATCCCATAACTGAATTATACTTTCTGAATCTTAAGCCCGTCATCTTTAAAATGGGACTATTAGATACTACTTCACAGAGTTGTATAGATAATGTGTGTAGAGCACTCAGAGTAGTACCTACATTTGATTAAGGGCTCTATACTTGTGAGTTCTTCCTCCAGGCACTCTGTTGATATGGTGGTTCTCTAATTGCACTGAATAGATTTTAATGATGAATAATCTAAATCATTTTATTCCTTGTAGTGTGAGGCAGTGCCATGTATCCAGCAGTCATTCAGTAAAGATTTGTTGACACTGTGAATATAAATTCATCATAAGGGAATTTTGAAACAACTTTTAAATATCCTGCTGGGAGACATACATAAAATGGGACATTTCCCAGAATACACATGGCTTACTCTTTCTAGATGTCTTCATCCCTCTAAAATAACAACAACAAAAATGGCTGTTAATGCTATGGGCAACACAGAACAGGACTCTTGGTAAAGTGCACTTTAGTGATTTTTCAGTTGGTCACCTACTCATCTAGTTAATGGTGTGAACCACGGAAAAAGCAGGAACGAAGCTCACAAAATGTGACAGAAGTCTAAAAAAGTTATGTGCTTTACCACGATTGTGAAAGTAGCTTATGTTTTACAAAATGTGATTTCTTAGTTAGCTAAAAGATGCCTTCTTGGCCAAAGGGAGGTGTGGTTGGGGAGATGACTGTGGGGGATTTTTTTCATATGTTTTTCATATGTTTTTCATATGCTCAGGAGTATCCTCTATGGCTAGCAAGTAGGCAAGCAGTAGAACAAGCAAACAAACAAAACTCCCTGAGAGAAGGGAAGTAGAATGTTTCTAGTAAATTTCCTATTAATTATACACCTAGGGACATTTCAGACCAAAGCAGACAACTCTGACCTTGTACATTTATTTTTAAAAATTGACAGTTAATAGTATAACAGTGCAATACTGCAGTCACCAAGGTAAACAAAACAAAACAAAACAAAACTGTTACTCTTTTTAGCCACTTATTTGGCTAAAATGGACCGAATAACAGCTTCAGAGGATAAAACAGGCACTGTGGTATAATGAGTGTGTTAAACAACAACAACAACAAAACAAACAAACAAACAAACAAAAACTGTGTTCAAATCATTTGAGAAACTAACTACAAACTAAATTAGAAAACAACTGCAAGGCCTGGCTTCTGCATTTAAACGATGACAGCTATTGGGCCCTCAGATAAGGAACTAAAAATGAACATTGCAGTATCATTAGTAATTGTAGCATCACATTTCACAAAACAAGGTAAAAAAAAAAATAGGAACTTTTAAATCTCATTGCCCTGAAGTCTCCACTGCAAAGGCATTTGTTTTGCATCATATCCTCATCAAAAAATAAGAAAGAAAAATCAATAGAACTGTCACTGAGTCATCGACACTTCTTAACTGTGTTCCCTTCCAACAGATGCAGCATCTGCTGTTGTTTCTGATTCTGCACTCTTGCTTGCCTCAGGAGTGATGGTATTTACTAGTAACTGTAGGAATCCGAGCAGGATCTGACTCAGTGTCACAGAGGCCAATATATCATGCACCCCGTCGGTAAGGAGAAACTGCCAAATAAATGTTCTTAATTCACAATGGACAGATTATGAAACTGAAACACAAGCACTAGCACAGAAGCTGTGTAGGAGGAAAAGGGAGAAAGGAATGAGAAACAGAAAGAGAAAGAAAATGGCAGATGTAAATTTTATTCGTTTTTACGGTTCATGGTGCTGGGTTTTGAAAAACCAGTAACAATCTGAATACGGTAGCCATATTTTTACCAGTGTTTAAGGTCCATGTTTCACTTGGAGGTGAAGGGAGTCTACTTTGAATTCTGGAATAAGAAGGCTGTCACTATTTCAATCTTTTATTCTTTTCCTCTTTCTTCCCTCCTTCTTTCTTTTTTCCTTCCTTTCTTCCATCCCCTCTCTCCTTCCCTTTCTCCCTTCCTTCCTTTTCCAAATTATATAATCCCTAAAACAATTTTTGGCTAAATCTTTTAATGTTTTCCCCATTATGTACCGCTGTGTGTGTGTGTGTGTATGTGTGCGTGTGCAGGTTCACCATTAAGACAACATCATTTTCTAAACTGTGTCTGTCCATTTTAAATCCTGCCCCTGAGGTTTTTTTTCTTTTTTTTTTAACAGAAATTTACTTTTTTACTGTTTACCTATTAAATCATTTAAGATTTTAAAACTGACAGGACATACCTACTTACGATAGTTTTTCACATCTTAATACTTGAGAATTTTTTGTTCTTATTTGTAATTAGGAAAAAAAATTAAAATGTGACTATATCACATTTCCTTGGAATAATTAAAATAACTTTTGGAAAGTGAAAGTGGAAATAGAACAAACATAACCTTCTTGACAATGAGGGAAAAGAATAGTTCACTCTTATTTTACTAAAACAAATTCTTCTTACAGCATAAGTCTTGTAAAATAACAGCAAAATCTGAATACACAGTGCAAAGACTGGCAAGAATTGTTTTGTGTTTCTTGAATCTGGATTGCATAAATATAAATTATGAACTGATTTGATACATAAAATAGAAAGTTATCTTGCTTTAAAGAAATCATTTAAACCATTGCTATTTTCAAAGAATCTTCCAGTCTACATTATATTATGACTATGAAAATAACTTTACATAAAAATAACTTTACAAAAAAATTGGCCTTTAACAAGAAAAAAATATTCAGCAATTCTAAGTGCAAAGCTATTAACTGACTGATATCTGATCCCTGACACAGGATGTCATTCTTAACCCAGTGCCTGGCTGCTCAGCATCCTGTGGGAACCGCAGGCTTCTGAAGATTCCTCTTTACAAATAACAATCAGTGCAGATAGAGGAGACACAAGGAGAGCCAGTTAAATCTTTCACATCATTACCAGCCTCATTGTTTTGCAAATCAGGAGCATAAAGTAGAACACGTGCATGAATCCTCTTACAGGTTTCTGAATGCTAGGGATTTCAAATATGTGAATCCTGGTGATTAACAGTAAATGAATAAGCCGCATGACAAATCATTACCTTTACCAGCTAAGTGGCTAGTTTAAATTAAAGATTACAGGTTATAGTTTGAATTCACCAAGATTTGTCCATCTAAAATGATAAGCCTTTCCTCTATTCATATGTCAGTCCATCATTATTGTGAAGTCTGCCATAGATGATCACTAACTCACTTGAATAGCTCAAAACAGCATTTTTAAAAGTATCCTATTTATAGTAGAGATATGTAGAATAATCCAAAACACTGTCTTCTTCAACATGCTAACCCTCTCTTGGTAAGAAATTCTTCTCAGGATACTTTAATTTCTGCCACAAAGCCGAGTGCCATAACAATAGGATTAAAAGTGATTTAGCCGTATTTTAACGGGCTGCATTTTTTCCCTTTGTAATTTGCTTTTACAAATGTAATTATTCATTTTCTTCAGTAGGTGACTAAGTTGACCATATTTCACTTATAGGTATTTAATATTCTTTTTCTTGTAATGATTTTTCAGTACTATTTTCCACAAATGTCAAAATCCTGAGTTGTTTATTTGAATCCTGAGTTATTGCTCTTATAATGAGAAACTCTAATTATAGAGTGCAGTGAACTAGGCAACAGAGAGCTTGCATGCCAAATATTATTACTAATATCAAGGCATATGAACAACACTAGTCACTACTTTAAAATACATTGCCTACTTCTCAATGTTTGGATAGGGACTGTTGCTTTACTTTTGAGGCATTTGTAGCAAGCTCTAAAGTAAAAAATTCCTCATCCTTATTTTTACTCTGTTCAAACTGATCATTTATCTCAGTTTATGCAAAAAACTCACCTGTAGCTCATTACCCCGTATTTGCTGAACCCTACACTTTCTCACTCAACTAAAACAGGAGCATAGAAAGCAGAGCTGGCACTGACCCTCACCCTCAATTATTCGTGTGGGCAGTTCAATGCCACTCTATTCCCAAACATATTTGTTTGGTATGCATATCCAAGCAATATTAGCTAAAGGGAGTACACAAAGAAGGACACCATTTTTTCCCTCCCACTCCCCATCTGTCGTGGAAAACACACAGGTTTTCCTCCACAGGTTGAAAAGAACCTTATGTCCTTGGAGGACAGACTTACAGTGCATTGCAACAACAGTGTGAACCTTCTTCCTACTCCTCAACCCACAGTCCTGTTTTGAAGGCTGCATTCTGAGAATAGGCTTCACCATGATGCTGTTGGAACATAAGCTACCATGTTAAACAAGCATGGCATGAGGCTGACTAATCCTGGTGAACTGTGTGGTTAAATAGCTGCTCCTTAGAAGCAGTAGTGATTACAAGCCTTGTCCAGCACTACGAATCAGAATGTCTTCCCTCTTCTTTTGAAGGTAGGTGGTGCAAAAGCTACTCCTTACCGGGGCATAGACTAATTTTATTAAATTAATTCATTTAACATATTCAATGTTTTTACTAAATATTTACTGATTTTTAATAATAAAAATTAAATGCAATTTCTATAATAATTGTTAACTTATTGCTTCATCCATGGACTCAATGATCAGAAAAGACACATGATGGATAAAAATGACCTAAATGATGTAGAAATAACTAAGGAAGAACATTGAGGAAAGAGCTGATTCAGTAAGAAAGATGAATTAAAATTTAGGCATACACTTGCTCACATTCTCTCTCTTTCTTTCTTCCTTCCTTCATTTTATTTTTTTATTTTTATTTTTTATTTTGAAACAGTCTCGCTCTGTGGTCAGGTTGGAGTGCGGTGGCGCAATATCGTCTCACTGCAACCTCTGCCTCCGGGATTCAAGCATTTCTCCTGCCTCAGCCTCCTGAGGCAGCTGGGAATACAGGTGTGTGCCACCAGGCCCAGCTAATTTTTGTATTTTTAGTAGAGATGGAGTTTCACCATGTTGGCCAGGATGGTCTCCATCTCCTGACCTCGTGATCCGCCTGCCTTGGTCTCCTAACACATTCTTTTTCTCTCCCTCTCTCTCTCTCTTTCCTCCTCCTGAATAGCACAAGTGATTTAAACATAGTGTGACATGTAAGACAAATCAGATGGTGTCTTCTGATTACAAAGCCAAACCCAAAGTCTTGGATTCTATTCTTGGCTTATTCACAAGAAATTTGTAGAATCTTTCCTTAATTATTTTAAGCCATTTACCCATATTAAAATGGACTCAATGTTCATTTAACAGTTACTCTTTTACTTATAAAAATTATGACCAATTCCATGGTAAGTTCAAGAAAACAGGATGGACATAGTCCTTATGGATCTTACTATCTTTGTATGAATGCATACTTAGCATTAATCAAGAATATACCAAATGGGCCAGGCGCGGTGGCTCACTCCTGTAATCCCAGCACTTTGGGAGGCCGAGGTGAGTGGATCACCTGAGGTCGGGAGTTCGAGATCAGCTTGACTAACATGGAGAAACCTCATCTCTACTAAAAATACAAAATTAGCCAGGCGTGGTGGTGCGTGCCTCTAATCCCAGCTACTCGGGGGGCTGAGGAAGGAGAATCGCTTGAACCCGGGAGGCAGATGTTGCGGTGAGCCGAGATCATGCCATTACACTCCAGCCTGGGCAACAGGAGTGAAACTCCATCTCAAAAAAAAAAAAAAAAAAAAAAAATATATATATATATATATATATATATATATATATATCAAATGATAATACTTGAAATAAAATATAGGCTCATAACTTCCAATAACTAATAATGTGTACTTCATGTAGTTATTAATAATTCTGCTTCAAAACTTAATTAATAAATTTTTAGGTAGTCAATTAAGTGACAAGATTCTACATATAACATTATCTACAATTAAATTTTTTATTATGAAACTTGAAATTAATCTCTAGTTATAAGGACACCATTAAGAAGCATGAGCACATGACTCCCTACTGATTTCACTGGAGAGAAAGACTTGAACATGAGCTCATTGTTGATTCAGTTGCACATAATATCAGCTTATTTATGTACTCAGGGGAATAAAACACATTTCACTTTTCCTTGCCCTACACTAGTAGTGAAATTTTAAGTTCCGAAGAGAGAATTTGAATAATTATTTTATTCTTTCAAAGTGACTTCTATCTGAAAAACTTACACTTTATAAAAACGATGTGTTTCTAGTAAAGCTTTTAAAATCTTATCTTTTTGTAACTAACTATTCATAAATAGCCCTTTATAACTAATATATCATAGCTCTTTGGTACCTCCATGCTTTCTTTGTGGATAAAAACAGTGCTAACTGGTTGGCACTCCCCTTTTGCCAGTCTGAAATCTAAACGGAATTCTCTCCTTATAGCTGTCTGTTAAGAAGATGTGAGTCTTCACCTCAAAGGGCTCTTGAAACGCTGCTAATTACAAGGGGATAATGAGAACTCACCAATGGAGACCACCTCAATTAAACAAAAATCAGTTTATATTGATACAGCAATTAATTATATATGACAGAATAATTGAAGAAGTTTTCCTTGTGTATTCATAGAGAACCTAAACTTATATGAAATTAAGTATTAGTTGTGGAGCATTTAATGAAGATTAAAATGAATTTCAGCTGTAGACTTTATACAAAATTTAAAAAATAAATTAAGTGGTAAGAAAATAATGCAAGTTTTCTGTGATGAGTATTCTTTTATTCAGAGTTGGAGTGGGGACAATTTATATCTCAATTTCATTAGTCTTTTTTAAAAAACAATGTTAATGAAGTATATGGACCAATGCTCACTAACACTTTGGACACATAGAAACCCCAGTGGTTTGTTTGAGTTTGCACAATATAAATTTATGCATCCCAAAGAACTTGTAATACTAATGGCATTTATCAGGTATTGTTTGTAAAGGATATGAATAATAATAATCCATCTGCTATAGTCCCTTTTCAGCAGAGGAATCATACAAATTAATGTTGGCCTGGATATAATCCATTTAGGATGATTCATGAGAGTCATAAAAATGACCTCTCTCTCTTTTTTTAATTCCCAAGCAAGTGTTTTTCCATTAATTATTTTTCTACTTCTTTTTGTAAGGTCCACTTTGAGGTTCTTTAATTCTGTCAAATGTTTTATGACTATTTTGAAAAAATATCTAACATCCACAAGACCACCACCATCAACAACGAGAAACTTCATAAAAATCTAAGCTTATACTCTGGTATTTAAAGGAGAAAAATATTAAGAGTATCTGATGATGAATCAAGTATAACAATGTAAGAAAAATGAAAACTAACATGTACTGAATGCTTACCAACTAGTTTGAAAACATTATTTTCTTTGATTTTAACAGTGTCTCTTTTGGGGCAGATATGTGAATCAACTTCATTTCACAACTGAAGAAACAGAATCCTAGAGAGAATAGATAACCATCCTGTGGCCCCACATTTAAGATGTGACGAAGCCAGTACTCAAATCCTGGTCTGTTTTCAATCATACCTACCCTCTTAATCACTAGGCAAAATCTTTTTTGTGCATAGGCTAGTGGAATGCAAACCTAGATGATGAAGTGGTATAGAATAACATTAATTTATTAATCATGAAAGTCATCTATGGACAATATTTTTAATATCATTACAATTATACACCAGGTACAATTTATATTAGTTCTCATGCATAAGCTGAGTGTTTTCCCTCCACATTTTAAGGGGAGAATATTAAACAACTATTTAATTATATACTTGTATTTTCTGGTACATGGCAAATTAGAACACTAAATAACAGCTTTGAAGTATAACAAAAATTTACACATTGACATTCATGAGTGAGAACTATATCAGATCTTAGAAAAATTAGAATATATGTAGTTTTGGACAATATTCCCATTAATAGACACTGTAGACCTCTCTTCATTTTCTCTTCTGTTATACACATTTTCCATGCTGTTCCGTTGTTCCTTCATTTTCAAGTTGATCTATCACCTCTTTGGCTCTATTACTGACTTCTGTATTTAACTTATTCACTACTAGTGTTATCACAGTGTAAGTACTAGAAGTAAAGAGAGAAAGACTAGAGTACATGTAATTTTTGGTGCCAAAATATAGAACCTATTGTTTCATAATGCTTCAGTGAATTTCTTTTAGGCAATAAAAGAACCTTCTTACTTTTCCTTATGAGATAAAATTATAGCATTGCAAATAAAGCAAACACTATGGGTTTAGACCTATTGGGGTTTAAATGTTAGTTCAGTCATTTACTAGGTATGAACATTTGAACAAGCAATTCTTATGTTCTCAGTTTATTTCTAAATTTGTACTGGCAATACTTAATACTGATTTATGGATTAATTTATTGTTTTATTTATTTATTTGAGACTGAGTTTTGCTCTTGTCACCTAGGCTGGAGTGCAATGGGCATTGTCGGCTCACTGCAACCTCTGCCTTCCAGGTTCAAGTGATTCTCCTGCCTCAGCCTCCCAAGTAGCTGGAATTACAGGCCTGCACCACCATGACTGGCTAATTCTTGTATTTTTAGAAGAAACAGTGTTTCATCATGTTGGCCAGGGTGGTCTTGAACTCCTGACCTCAAGTGATCCACCCACCTTGGCCTCCAAAAGTGCTGGAATTACAGGTGTGAGCTACTGTGCCCAGCTACCTGTATTTATTTTTTAATGAGTTGGACATGATTTATATATTTAATTCCACTTCAAAAATGTATTGGTGGCATACCATGAATCAAATACCATTCTTGGGCTATACTATAAACAGCAGAGATAGTTTTTTTTTTTTTACAGCTAATGATATTTACATTTTCAAGAGGAGAGACAGAAAATGAACAATTGATATTAATAAACAAATAATTTTGTTAGAAAGTGATTTGGAAAGGAAAAAGTAGAGCAAGGTAAGGGACTTAGGAGTTCTGGGTATGTGACTTGTGAAATTTTAATATGCAATGTTGTGTAGTATTAGTGGGTGACAGAATTGAATAAGTTAAGAAGATGGCTATGTGGATCTCCTTGAGAAAATGGTACAGCCAGTGCAAAGATCCGACAGAGGGAATACGTTGTATTAGAAGAAGAAGAAGCAGTGTGGCATGGAGAGAGTGAGCGATAACTCACAGAGTTACAGAGCAGTTCAGGTTACACAGGACCTTGAGTGCGAAGAAACATTGAATAAATGCAGCTGTTACTGTGTTTAGATAAGAAATGCTAGGCTTACCAACAGAAAAAAAATATTATTCTGTAATTTAAAAAAAAAAACCCACATAGCATTGCAAATGTTTATTTAATTCATACTGTGAGTCAAGCATTGCCCTGGTCACTATAAAAACATTCTCTCATTTATTCCCCATGAAAGCCCTATGTGAAAAATGCCATTTCTATGTCCACTATACAGATGAGAAAACTGAAGCTCTAGTAGGCTAAGTAACTTGTCCAGGGTCACACTCTTATTATGTGACAGAGGTATTATGAATAACCTTAATATGATTTCTTTTTGTTAAATGCATACAAAGCCTTGCTATGCAAAACATACTTGTGACATCCTTGTGGTTTCCAAGTTAGTTTCTTACTTCCATTTACTTCTCAGATAGGCTCCTTTCAGCTCTCTATCATTATAGTCTTTCTATAAAAAGCATTCAGTATACTGGCCACAGAAAATAAATTACTTTTTCACCATCTCTCTTTTATTCCTCTCATTCACTAGGGATTACATTTAATTGTCTTCTAGCTATAATTAGCTTATTGAGTGGAGACTTTATTCTAAATGTGATCAAACAGCAACTTTGTAATTTTTCTTTCTAAATCGTATATTTTAGGGATCCTTCTTTTTTGTTAATTGTTAGTGTTTTATTACTCTCAAGGTATTCCTACTTTCATTCGCATTGATTTCTGCAGTCATCATATTTTGGACATTTTTTTCTTTGAATGACTTTTCTGTGTTAAAAGGAATTATCATCAGTCTTTGGTCTAAATTCTTACTTAATAATATGTCGATATAAAGTCAGATTTTAATTTTGGCATTGTTAATAAGTGAAATAAAGATACAATTACTTTGTGTGTAAATGATATAACTATTACATGTTCTCTCTTTTCAAAAATTATCTATTCCCTACTGTCAGTGTGATATTTTCAAAATTCACCATAAAGGAAACATAAGTTCTCTTATATCTTCTAAATCTAGAATGATATATGTTGATTAAAATATGTTATTCTAAGGTTAATGTATTTTAAACCAGAAGACCTCCTTGTTTTACATTTCCATGTGATTTTTCAGCATCATGGTTTAATATTTATATTCCCCCTAGTTTTATTCCTTTGTTTTTTAGTTTATATGCTCATAACAAAAAAAATTGGTAACTTACTATGAGAGGATTCCAAATTCAAGAAAGTGTAAAAAAGCAAAATATAAAATAATATATTTAACAGAGGTATACAAGTTTGCTTTTTGAGAGCATTTTGATAGACAATTGTATTCTCCACTCTTCATCTGCTTCTCTTAACATGAGATGAACAAACTGAAGTTTTTACTTTTTAAAGCAAGGCCAGTATGATTTATCAGTATACTAAAGGCTATATCCAGTGCAGCTGATTCAGGATCTACAGTTTTCAGTACAGAAGTTTGTCATACTTCCTCCTTGAAGTCAGTGTACAAGACTTAAAAGAATAAATAAGATTAGCCATAAACTCCTCATCTCCACTCAATGATTCATGAGCCCATTGGTTATGTCCAGTATTGTGGTATCAACCTTAAACTATTACAGTCATTGACTAATAAAACTTTCAAGATTTAAGAATATTAGAAGTTTACATGATCCAATACTATTATTTGACAGATTAATGACTTACAATCTTTATAAAAGAAGAAACATGACAAATGTGTTTGTGACCTGAAACTTAAAACAGTTTAAAAATTGATGTTGCATGAATGTATCAACCAGAGAAATTCATTGAATATTTAGCATGTGCAAGGTGCTGAAGTATTCAGTTAGACTATAGCAAATACTCACAATTTAAAGAAAAAGAGTATTTTCAGCAAAAATATTTAAGATCATTTATGATTCTTAGTAACAGAGTGCACAAAAATTTATCCGCCCTTGTGAGTTTGCTACATATAACATTGGGATATATTAAAGCTAGTGGCAGTGGGAGGTGAAAAAGCCATGGCATTATTGAGATGAATCAGTGCAAATTGAAGATCTAAAAAAGTAACTTAAATGTTCAATCAAATACTTTACCCAAAGGACAAAAATATCTATCATGTTAAAAATGAGAAAGAAAAAAAGTGACACGTTGGATCAGGAACAAAAAAAAATTAAGAAAAAATTTAACTATTTTTTTGTCACTCTAGCCCTTTACTTCTAATGGAGCACGGAGGATAAAACTTGTAGTATGAAAAAAATTAAGACAACTGTAGTATGAAAAAATAAAAATAAATAAGCAGCTATAGGGTAACACCAGGTGATATTTTTTGCTAATTTTCTTTTCAGGTAAATATTGGCCTGTTCCAACATACACTCTTATATTCTATCACAATGTTATCCTATGATTTTTCTAGCATCTTGCATTCAATAAAGAAATGCTTATGAGGGGTGTTTGTTATCTCATGTGTCATTTAAGTCTTAATCTATTTTAGAAAGAAATCATTATGAATGTCTAGTAAATAGCTCTTTTAATTTTGAAAAATGAGCCACCTACATTAATATAGAATATAACTAGCATATTTGTTCATTCTCACACTGCAATAAACAAATACCTGAAACTGGGTAATTTACAAAGAAAAGAGGTTTAATTGGTCCATGGTTCCACAGGCTTTACAGGAAGCATAGCTGTGGAAGCCTCAGGAAATTTTCAGTCATGGCAGAAGGTGAAAGGGAAGCAGGCATGCCTTACATGGCTGGAGGAAGAGGAAGAGGAATAGAAGCAAAGGGAGAGGTGCAACACACTTTTAAACAACCAGATCTTGTGAGAACTCACTCACTATCATGAGAACAGCAAGGGGAGTATCTGCCCCCATCATCCAATCACCTCCCACCAAGCCCCTCCTCTGATATGGGGGTTGCAATTCATCATGAGATTTGGGAAGAGACACAAATCCAAGCCACATCAACTAGTACACCTGAATTATTTTTTATAGCTAAAATGAAGAGTCTTATTTTTGTGTGTGTGTAATATTAAGATACACTTCACCAAATATCTATGATTTTAAAAAGATCAGTCTTGTTTTACTTTGTTTTGTTTGCTTTGTTTCATACTTTTAAGTGTCAGAAATTTCGCCTATAAATCTCATTTAATTTTACTTCTAAAATTTATAATTTTTCATATATCACCTCTATTTTACAGATTAGGAAACTGCTGCTCATAGATTAACTGATTTACCCAATATTACTATATTTATATGTATATTTAAAGAAATTTGAGCTCTAGAGACTATACTATTTCCACTATTTGAACTGCCTAATTATAGAGGAACAAAGCCAGCTAGGAATTTCTTATACTATATCTCAAAAAGAAGAAACCCTTATAATAAATTTACACGATAGATACAAATTCTATAAAATTGACTACTTTATTTTAAATAAATATTTATTTGTGAAAGCTACAATGCAAGAAGTTTGATAGAATGAAGGGGAAATAAACCCCACCCCCACCAACAAAAAATAAGATAGTTCTATTTCTTCTCACCCCATATTCAAGACTCAACTTGAAATGGGCTAAACATAAGACCTGAAACTGTAAAACTACTAGAAGGAAACATAGGGGGAAGCCTCACAATATTGGTCTGGACAATGATTACCTAGATATGATCCCAAAAGCACTGGCAACAAAAGTGAATATAGACAAATTGGATTGCATTCAAACTAAAAAGCTTCTGCACAATAAAGGAAACAACAGAGTGAAGAGACAACACATAGATTAGAGAGAAATATTTTCAAATTATGCATGAGATATCACCTCCCATCAAGTAGAATGGTTATCATCAAAAAGACAAGAAACAAGTGTTGGAGAGGATATAGAGAAAAATAAACTCTTATACACTGTTGGCAGGAATGCAAATTATTACAGCCAGTTTGAAAAACAGTACTGAGCTTCCTCCAAAAACTTGTTCCACTTCTGGGTACATATCCAAAGGAATGGGAATCAGTATGTTGAAGAGATATCTGCACTTTCATGTTCATGGAAACATTATTCACAACAGCCAAGATGTGAAAAATACCTAAGTACCTATCAATGGATAAATAGACAAAGAAAATGTAAAAATACACAGCTGAATACTATTTAGCCTTTAAAATAAGGAAATTTGTCGTTTATTATAACATGAATGAATCTAGGGAACATTATGCTAAGTGAAATAAGCCAGGCTCAGAAAAACAAGTATTATATGATAACACTTGCATGTTGGATCTAAAAAAGTCTGGCTCATAGAAGTAGAGAGTAGAATGGTGGGTGCCAGGGACTAGAGGTGCGAAGGATGAACAGGGACAAAGGAGATATTGGTCAAGGGTATGAAATTTTAGTTAGACAGAACGAGTAAGTTCTAATGATTTACTGCACAGCATGGTGACTATAGCTAATAATAATGTGTTGTATATTTCAAAAAGGCTTAGAGAGTAGATTTTAAGTGTTCTTACCACAAAAATGTTTATTAGTATGATTTAATCATCCCTACAATGTATACATGTATCACAACATCACATTGTACCCCATAAATCCATACAATTATTTGTCAATTAAAAATAAAATAAATATTTAGCAAAAAATTTAAAATGTGTTGTCTGTTTATAGTGATTTCAATTTCATTTTAAAGTAAGATCTTCAAGAGACATACTTAACCTTTTGCATTTCCTAAAACAATGTCTTGGAAAGAAATGGACTTATATTCTTAATTCTCTGACCCAAAGAGATTACAGGCTCCATTGAGAGTCTCTTGCCTTACAGAAGCAGAAATGCAATCAATGTAGGTTATTGGTCATTTTCCCAAAAGATTGAAAGGGTAGTTTGGAGTTGGGAAGCACAATTAAACTGCTAAAATAAAACTTTCTCCTCTGTTATATACAGTGTGTGTCTGGCATAAAAGCAAAATTGATAAAATAGATACTTTGCATGTGTTAGGAATCAGTACATTTTATCTTTTATTTGACGCTTAAATAACTTCTCTTTTGCATAATGTTGTGCTGTTTTTTTCTTGTTCCTTTTCCAATTTGAAAACGTATTTATTTGTACATACTATATTTCATAATATATGAAAACTAAATCACTTTTATATTTTAAATTCCAAATTGTTTTTATTTTTTAATCATTGAGTGACATGCAACAATTAATACATGTGGAACATTTGGTATATTCTAGATACTCAATTGTGAAACAGAATGACAATCCTTGACCCTATAAAAATTGTGTTTAGTGTTGGATACAGAAAAATAAATGTTTGAGGACAACAGAAGATATGTGTTATGAATGGAAATTTATGGGTTCTATGCTGAGAACTAGAAAGATCAACTAATCAAGACTTGGCACATTCAGGATTTTTTCTTTTTCAAAGGAAGCAGTATCAAAGGTGAGGTCTGACATGGGGTACAAAAACAGCCAAACAATGAGGAAAGGAGAAAGAACACACTGGGCAGAGAGAATAGAGGAGACAAATAACTTTATGACCAATAAGAGATGGGGAGTAATAGAAGGAAGTGGGTCAAACACTGGGAGGAAAGAATTGTTATTCAATGTAAAAAAAGAGGAGAAAATAGTACATATTTGTGATAGATATATTTAGTTTTGAACATCCTGAGTTTTTGGTGAATATATGATAAATAAGAATGGATTTATACCCACACATTTATATTTTATTGCTTCTAAGAATCACATTTTTGCACATTTTAATATTTTCAAAACCCAAATGCATAGCACAAGCAAAATGTATAAGAACTATAATTGCCAGTGGGTTTTCATTTTTGCTTGTATGTAAATTATTGGTGAATTTTACAATAGATAATATCTCAGATTAAATGAAATATGATAAACCATGGATTTCAGCCTCATCTTAAAATATTTAACTTGAACCTGAATCATTTATAGCAAACTTCTAACCATTAGATAGCATTTGCTTCATTTCTAGTGAACTTCAAACTCTCTTTACTCTGAAACCAATTCCAAATCCAGATGGCACAGTATATTCTAAGTCATGATTAGAATCCCCAAAAAGTTATGCTCTGATCTTTCTGTATAAAGGAGGGTGATTTAGAGCCGTATTATCATTTTATAATTCTCTATATCTAATTCCCCACCATGTATATTGGAAAAAAAAGAAATGTTATTACCTGACAAATTATCCAAGTTCTTTGCCATGCATAGATCATATCTTACAGGCAGAGCCAGGACAAAAATCAGTGTCTTCCTAACTGCCTCCTGCTCCAACTGGCAGTGTTTGAAGCCTGTATGCCCATCACTTAAGTCAAGACTGCTGGGATTCAGAGCAAATGTCCTCCAGATTTCCTTTCCATCATATCTTTTCAATTTATTTTTTAAAAGAACTATACAATAACGCTGAATAATTTTTAAAATGACCTTCTCATCTAGAAACTCTGTGAGACCTCATGCTAATAAGGAGCTTAGGGGTGATAAACTCACATAAAATATATTTCAGACTTAGTCTCTCTTGAGATTCCAGGGAATGTGCTTAGTTGAAGATTAAAGTCTTGGCTGGAATGTTATGCTTGAATTTTTGTGAGTCTTCCTGTGGTAATCAGAATGAGTAATGTTTTTCAATGAACAGAAAGTTATTTAATAACTGAGACAAGTTACTTGCAATTTCAACTTATTGTTTAATAAGCATTACTCGTGTGTGTGTGTGTGTGCCCGTGTGTGTGTTACTGTAGGAATACAAATAATGAAAAGACACAAGATACATTTTCTTTCATCAAGTCGTGGACACATTTATAAGCATCTCATTCCAGTAGAACCAGAGGAAGGCAGAAAAACAAGCAATATGCTTTGGGAGTACAACGGCATAAAATATTTAATCTGATGATGAGAATGCTTTAAAGCAGAAGTGCAGTTGTGATATTCTTGATAGGTGGGTGATGGAGGGAGAACATTGCTGGATAAGGAATTAGGTGCAAACACCCGGAAACATATGAAGTGTCCAGGTAATTACACAGTTCTCAGCCACCAGGGAACAAGATTGGGGAGGCTGACATGCAAATGTGGCTACAAAGGTAGTTTATGTAATTGGGGCCAGGCCATTGGATGGGCTAAGTTGTTCATTTATTATTTTGAGGGGAATGGAAAAACTAACGAAAACTAATGGAAAAACTCTCCACTTCTGATGAGTGGAGAGTCATCACTTGACCCATGCAAAGCTTGACCTAAGGTCCAGAGACAACGAAGGAACTAAGTTCTGGAGAGAAAGCTACTTAGCGCTAGCCTTGCTTAGTCTACTATCCTATTGTTTGAGAAAAAACAAATTAGACATCATTCAACTACTACTAACTATGTGTGTGTGCATATATATATATATATATATATATATATATATATATATATATTCTAAATGAACAAAAAATGTTTCAAGTATCTAATACTTAGCTATACCAACAGACAAAATATATTCAAGTTAGAGTCACAAAGATATCTTTATAGCAGAAGAATGTTCCAAAATGCTACCTACAGATCTCATTATATATGTGGGGCATGAAATACTGAACTGGTAATGGGAAGACTGAATTTACACCTGGTTTCTTTCCTCCAGCTTGTGAGAGTCAGGATATGAAGGTTATCTATCTATCTATCTATCTATCTATCTATCTATCTATCTATCTATCTATCTATCCATCCATCCATCCATCCATCCATCCATCTAAAATTCTATATATGTATTTGTATACATATATACACACAAATATATGTATACACACACACATATATACATATATATATCTACATATAAGTGCACTTATTTGAGGGATAAGAGCGTACCTGAGGACAAATATATATATATAAGTGGTACACAATACAAAGTGTACTTATATACAGTTGTCCTCAGGTACATATAATGGTACTTATCTGAAGGATAGTATATATAAGTGTACTTATCTTAGCGATAACAGCTTACCTGAGTGTAATAACTATTCAATCCTATATCTGAGAGAAAAAAAATCATTCATAGTGTGAGTTTAAGGTGAGGGATGGAAGAGATGAGAAGGAGAAATGTGGTTTTACTTGTTTTACTACTTGTTCTAACAATCCTTGTATTACCCTCGATTCTTAATTTAAAACATCTATTTGTCCCATTAAATCAAATTATTAAAAAAAAAACATAATCCAGAAGAGGATTAACTTTTGGTAATATAACACCATTAAGTATGATATAAAACTGATTTTGTCTTGTTATAAAATAAATATAAGTTCATGTTAGCTCTGACTACCATAACAAAATACCACAGTCTAGATGGCTTAAACAATGCAAATTTATTTTCTCACAGTTCTGGAGGCTGAAAGTCTGAAATCAAGGTACCAGCATAGTGAGGGTTTGGTGAGTGCTCTCTTCCTGGCTTGAAGGCATCCACCTTCCTGCTGTGCGCTCACAAGGCCTTTCCTTGGTATGTGCATGGGTAGAAAAAAAGAGAGCTCTTCTTCTTCCTTTTCTTAGAAGGCCACTGGTCTTTTCAAATTTAGGGCTCCTATGTTACGACTTCATGTAACCATAAATATGTCTTAAAAACCCTATCTCCAAATGCAGCCACACTGGGAGTTGGGGCTTGTACTTATGAATTTGAGGGAGACACAATTTACAGTTTAGTCTGTAGCATTCTCCTTTTGGTCCCCTAAAATTCATATCCTTCTCACATGCAAAATACATCCATTCTATTCCAACAGTTCCAGGAGTCTTAACTCATTCCTGCACTAATTCTCATTATGTTCATTTTTGTCTAGTCAGGAATTTTAATTGGACAGCTTTCCATTTACACTTACTGTAATTATTAATTTGCTTTATCTTTTTTTATCACTTGTTCTGCTGTCTCTCAATTATTGTCACCATTTGAGTTAATAATATAATTTATAGTATTTCATTTTAATACCTTTTCAGAGTTCTTACCATACTGCTTTGTGTTATGTGTTTAATAACTATTCTTAGGATTTACATATACAATCTTGTACTATTATTTACTAGAATATTTTATCTTTTCATATAAGATGGATACGTCTTGAAATACTATAAGTTACTCCCACTTTTGATGCTACTTTTTTTTTTTTATTTTTTGAGACGGAGTCTCGCTCTGTCGCCCAGGCTGGAGTGCAGTGGCGCGATCTCGGCTCACTGCAAGCTCCGCCTCCCGGGTTCACGCCATTCTCCTGCCTCAGCCTCCCGAGTAGCTGGGACTACAGGCGCCCGCCACCATGCCCGGCTAATTTTTTGTATTTTCAGTAGAGACGGGGTTTCACCTTGTTAGCCAGGATGGTCTCGATCTCCTGACCTCGTGATCCGCCCGCCTCTGCCTCCCAAAGTGCTGGGATTACAGGCGTGATCCACCGCGCCTGGCAATGCTACTGTTTTCATATATTTTACGTCAACACTTTTTAAAGCACAAATACAATGTTATGAAGTTGATCAAGAGTTAGCTCTTTTTGAAAAATTGAAGAAAAAGGTTAATTATTTATGCTTACGTACATATTTGTCATTTCTTATTTTCTTCATTCTTGTCTAGATCAGAGTTTCTATGTAGCGTTATTTTCCTTCAACCTAAAAAACTTACTTTTGTTTGTAGTACAATTCTGTCAGCAACAATTGCTCCCACTTGTTATTTGAGAATGATTTTATTTCACCTGTATTCTTGACTTAAATATTTACTGGATATAGAAATCATAATTGAAATGATTTTCCCCCAGCACTGTAGTGATTTCATTACCTTGTCTGTCTGACTCTATTATTTCTTATGAAATATCCACTATTATTTGTATCATGGTTTCTTTGTAGGTAATATATCTTCTCCCTTTAGCTGCTTTCAAAGATTTCTCTTTATCTTTGATTTTCAATAAAACCTCTGTGTAGTCTTCCTTGTGTTTATCTTTGCATGGATTGCTGAGGTTTCTGGCTTTGTAAATTGATATTTTAATTTAATTTGTGAAATTTTTGGCTACTATATTTTCAAAAATGTTAATATTGCAGTTTATTTCTTCTCTTCTTTGAGAACTTTAATTAAATCTATTTTAGAACTCCTTATATTTCCTATAGCTTACTGGTGTCCTGTTCAATGTTTTAACTCTTTATAAACAAACAAACAAACAAACAAAGGCTTCTGTTTTTTCAAATTAGCCATTAAATTCAACCATGACTTTTTTCTCCTTAATTTCAGATATGGCACATGTCAGTACTAGAATTTCCACAATTTATACTTATTTTTCCACTGAGAATTTTCATCAGTTTATTTGTCTTTTCCTTTAAGTCCTTAATATTATTCATAATGGCTAATTTACTTTTCATTTTTTGCCAAATCCCATATCTGGCTTTCCTGGAATACATCTGTTGACTTTTTCTCTTGTCAATGGGTCACTTTTTCTTGTTTCTTGTCACAGTATATATTTTTAAAACAGCCTCAAAATTACAGAGAAGTTTCAAATTCAGCGCTAATAAATTATTCACCTGAATCTTTTGAGAGCAAGTTGCTGACATGTTTCCTCATGTCAGCATGAAGAAACCGCTAAAGAATTTAGTGGATATTCTCTATCAACAATGACATTATCCTGTATAATCATAATACAAACATAAAACTCAGGAAATTAACCTGACTGTTACAATATAGCAATACTAGCACCCAAGATGGAGACCCCATTTAAGTTATGTCAACTGTTTCAACATACCTCTAGCAAAAAGATTTTGTTTGGACTAGTGCATTGCATTTAGTTGTCATACTTCTCTAGATTCTACAATTTAGAACAGTCCTCTAAAAGGTTTATAATCTGGACACTTTTGAATCCAGTTTCTTTGTAGAATATCCTCCAGTTGAATTTATCTGATATTTTCTCAGATTAAATTCAAGTTGTGCATCATTGAAGGAATAGCAATGCAGTGATACTGTGCTCTCTTTGCATCCTTCTGGGTGTCACACGATTTTAATTTATGTGGATTAATGGTTTTCTTATTTCATTCAATGAAATATAATCTGTTACTGTCATTATTTATTTGAATGCTCAAACTGTAAGATTTGAAGGCCACTTCAAGCTGACTTCTGTTCCTTGTGACATAGTTCTATCAATCTTTGAGCAATTCTTTATTTTCTAACTCATCTTACACATTCCATGTCCCAGCCCTGGAATTATCCATTTACCCAATGATTTATATATTTTTAAACTGAAGATTTGTGTTTAGTAAAAAATATCTGCTATAGTGTCCCTGTGTCAGGCTCTCAGACATAAATATCTGTTATATATATATGTGTGTATATACATGTGTGTGTGTAATACATACGTGTGTGTGTGTGTGTACAGTTAACCTGTGAACAACATAGGATTGAACTGTAAGGGTCCACTTATATGGAGATATTTTTCAATAAAAGCTCAGTGTACCTGCCTTTCCTGCCTCCCCTTCCACCTTTCTCTTCCTTTTCTGCCAACATTGAGACAGCAAGACCAAGCTCTTCTCTTTTTTCTCCTTCTTCAGTCCACTCAAAATGAAGGCAAAGAGAATGACAAGCTTTTTTTTTTTTTTTGCTTACCATATGCTTATGCAATTTATTATTATTCTCTCTTTTGACAGTGGCTATATAATATCTAACATTCTGCTAAGGTACAATTATTTCTCAGATACTTTTGTTTGAATTCAGACATCGTACTTGAAAGCAGGAAAACCGCCTTTCAAAAGTAAAACAAACGATCCATATACTTAGTTATCAAGGAAGGGCAACAACCTATTTAACAATTATTGTTAAACAGTAATCTGCTAGTCATGTCTAATTTATTTATTTTTATTATTTTTATTATACTTTAAGTTCTAGGGTACATGTGCACAACGTGCAGGTTTGTTACATACGTATACATGTGCCATGTTGGTGTGCTGCACCCATTAACTTGTCATTTACATTAGGTATTTCTCCTAATGTTATCCCTCCTCCCTCCCCCCACCCCAGGACAGGTCCCGGTTTGTGATGTTCCCCACCCTGTGTCCAAGTGTTCTCATTGTTCAATTCCCACCTATGAGTGAGAGCATGCAGTGTTTGGTTTTTCTTTCCTTGCGATAGTTTGCTCAGAATGACGGTTTCCAGCTTCATCTATGTCCCCTACAAAGGACATGAACTCATCCTTTTTTATCGCTGCATAGTATTCCATAGTGTGTATGTGCCACATTTTCTTAATCCAGTCTATCATTGATGGACATTTGGGTTGGTTCCAAGTCTTTGCTATTGTGAATAGTGCCACAATAAACATATGTGTGCATGTGTCTTTATAGCAGCATGATTTATAATCCTTTGGGTATATACCCAGTAATGGGATGGCTGGGCCAAATGGTATTTCTAGTTCTAGATCCCTGAGGAATCGCCACACTGTCTTCCACAATGGTTGAACTAGTTTACAGTCCCACCAACAGTGTAAAAGTGTTCCTATTTCTCCACATCCTCTCCAGCACCAGTTGTTTCCTGACTTTTTAATGATTGCCATTCTAACTGGTGTGAGAGGGTATCTCATTGTGGTTTTGATTTGCATTTCTCTGATGGCCAGTAATGATGAGCATTTTTTCATGTGTGTGTTGGCTGCATAAATGTCTTCTTTTGAGAAGTGTTTGTTCATATCCTTTGCCCACTTTTTCATGGGGTAGTTTGATTTTTTCTTGTAAATTTGTTTAAGTTCTTTGTAGATTCTGGATATTAGCCCTTTGTCAGATGGGTAAAATTGCAAAAATTTTCTTCCATTCTGTAGGTTACCTGTTCACTCTGATGGTAGTTTCTTTTGCTATGCAGAAGTTCTTTAGTTTAAGTAGATCCCATTTGTCTATTTTGGCTTTTGTTACCATTGCTTTTGTTTTTTTAGTCATGAAGTCCTTGCCCATGCCTATGTCCTGAATGGTATTGCCTAGGTTTTCTTCTAGGGTTTTTATGGTTTTACATCTAACATTTAAGTCTTTAATCCATCTTGAATTAATTTTTGTATAAGGCGTAAGGAAGGGATCCAGTTTCAGCTTTCTACATATGGCTAGCCAGTTTTCCCAGCACCATTTATTAAATAGGGAATCCTTTCCCCATGACAAGCTTAATGTTGATCCATTTCTACTTAATGAATAGTAAAAATACATCCACTTCCTTATGACTTTTAATAACATTTTCTTTTTCTTAGCTTCCTTTATTGTAAGATGCAATATATAATACACATAACATACAAAATATGTGTTAAATGACTATTTCTGTTATTGGTAAGCTTTCCAGTCAACAATAAGCTATTAGTAGTTAGATTTTTGGAGGGTCAAAAGTTATACGCAAATTTTTGATGGAACAGGGGTTTGTGCCCCAACTCCTGCATTGTTCAAGGATCGACATGAAATATATGTAATGTATGTACAAACATGTACTTGTGCTTCTATATTTATAAATGTATGTATACATATGTACAACATGTATGTACAAATTATAAATTAATACCAATACCTCTAATCCTAATTCAACTTCTCAATATTTATTCCAGTTTTCTCTCTTTTTCTATTTGTAATATAATTATTTGGCAGTGATATACCTGGCTGTTATTATTTTACTATATTTAATTTGTTTGTTCAACCTCTAAGAAAGTAACCAAGTTCTTGTTACTGCCACAGTCCCACCTCACTTTTATCAATATGAATGTTCTCCATGACCTACTTAGGATCTAACACTGTACCACCATATCTATCCATTGGGTGGCCTCTTTTCCTTGATACAGTCCTAGTTTCTTGTATCTACATCCAATGTAGTGAAATGGGTTGTGTCCCCCTCTAAAATCAGTAAGTTGAGGCCCTGGCCCCCATTGTGACTATGTATGTTGTTAAGATCTTTCAGGAGGAATGTAGGGTTACATGAGGTTATAAGGGTAGGGTCTTAATCCATTAGGACTGATGTCCTTGTAAGAACAGAGAGGGGCATAAGAGTCATTTGTGCACAAAGAGTAAGCGATGTGAAAATGCAGAGAGAACGTGGCCACCTGCAAGCTGAGGAGAGAGGTCTCAGGGAGAAACCAGCTGAAACCTTATTTTGTTTTGTTTCTGACCCCTGAGGTGGACTGGTTTCAACCTTGGTGTTGGACTTTGAGCTTCCCGAACTGTGAGAAACAAAAGTTGTGTTGCTTAACCTGTTCTATGGTATTTTGTTATGACAGGTTTAGAAGACTAATACAGTTCCCTCCTCACCCTGCTTAGATTCCAAAACCCATGCTCACTGACCACATCGTGATGAAGTCCTTCTCAATCTCTCAATTCTGATTTCAACACTTGCCAACAGGCTAGTCCACCCTATATTCTCCCTCCATACACTGCCAGGCTGCACCCTCATCTGGAAGCCTTATTTATGCCATTTGCATCCCAACCCTCCATAGCAAATATCTTCTTCTGGAGAAGTCTTCTTCATCAGAGCAGGTTACCTGTCCACAGTTTATAATTCTCATACTCTCATTGTTTACCTCCATGGGTGGATGTTGTTCTTATCCCATTTGGATTAGTATAAAGTACACCAGGTTGCCTTTTTGTAGGAACCTCAGATCATCTTTCCACGTGATCCTCCTCATCATATCTGGGCTTAAAAACTTGCATCAGCCTTTCCCTACCACATGGAAGCCTCGCTTATGCTAAACTCTGACACTTCACTCCAGGAAGCCTTCCTACATTGACTTATTCCTCATCCTTGCCAGCCTCCTATATTTGCTCTATATAACTGTGAATCTTCCTTCCCCACTTTCCCAAATGTGGATGTTTTGTTTACTTGGCTTCACCTAATACGTTTTTGACTAATTTTTTATGAAGGGAAAAGAAGAGAAAGAAGCAGAAGGAAATATAAAAAGAGGAAAATATAAATTGGCAATATTTTACTTCATACTAGATACTGTCAACATTACGCTATGAAAACTCTGGGTTTGGTTTTCTTCCTCTGAAGAGCATTGGTTTTGTTGTACCAGACACTTAGTACTGGCTGACCACACTAAACTTGTAGGTTTGGGTTGATGCTTTTTATAGGGAAGTGTCTTTAAGTTTTGCTTTCACTCCTCATTTTAAATTTTCAGTCTCCACATATAGTTTTACTCCTAAAGCAAGACAATTATGGGGTTTTACTTGGAAGGTACAAGATGTTTGTAAAATTCTTCTATATGTGTGGGACTCAAGTTCCAAACTCTGTATTCTTTGTGGTAGACACAAGCTGAAAATATCTGCTCAACTTTTCAAATTTCCAGCTATCAACTGGACATTTGGAGCATTCCCCATGTGTAGTCAACCCTTTGTGACTCAAGAATTTAATGGCAATTTATACACAGACTTTTGTTGTCTCCTTTTTGGCCTGTTTCTTTGTATAATTTTCCTATTCAATTTTCATCTCCTTTGATGGTCTCATACTACAAACTTTAAACATTTCTACCCATTGTAACAAGCTATCTCCATAAATTTTTAAATTCCAGCCAACATGCGCAGTGTCGTATGGTGAGATCTCTCAGAAGAAAATTTATGTGGCTATCACTAAATTCCATTCCATTCCTTCAAGGGTCATGTTTCTCTAGTTTCCATCTGCATCTTATTGCTATCCAGTACCTTCAAGTAGGTATGCTTGTGTGTGTATGTTTGAAGTTGTGTTCTTAGTTTGTATTTTTTTAATAGAAGGGTACTTAATTTAATGCAAATTACTTCATTATTATCAGAATTGAGAATATCTCTCATATTCAATTATAATATTGCTTAGGCATATTTTGATTAGTTGCTTTTAGTTTTTCTCTCATAAATTGTTACAAAATAATTTTGAAGAAACAATTCAAAAATTAATATTGCAAACAGAAGCACAAATGCAATATCTACATATTTTGATTAAAAAATTGAATCAAAAATTATCATATATATATTATAGAAAATTCCTTGTTGGGGTAATAATTGTGACTTGCATATATTTTGTCAGGTTATTTGATTGAAATAATTAGAAACATGTTATATTAATCATAAGCTTATGGATAAAATATGATGTTGCAAAAAATAGTTTGAAAAAGGACTAATATTTGATTGTTCAAATTTTATATACCAGGCAAAAAGTTTCACACCTATGTATTTGGTAAAAGTTCAATTCATTTATATGAAAATTCAGTTCAAAGATTCAATTCAATGCAAAGATAATTAATAAACGAAACAAAGCATTAAACACAATTGAGGGTTAGTAATGTTGATGAATATTTCTATTTCAAACAGCTGGCAAAACAACATTTAAAACTCAATATTATCAAATATAACTACCTATCTTTTTATCTCCACAAACATATACATATACCTATACACATATACAGATATGTATGTATATCTACATACACACACATATTTCTGTAATTTGTTTCTTCCCTTGACAATTTATTATACATCTATCTTAATACAGATTTTTGTACATTTTTAGTGTCTATTATTTATTAGTAGAATTACTCTCTTATTTTTTATTATATATATCTTTTTAACTGAACATTTTAATTATAATTTTTATTATCGTTCAAGTAAACATTCTAATATATACTTAAGCACTTGAACTAGTTTTTATATTATATATTATTAGAAGAATGGTTAGATCAATAATTTTTGTAATTTGCATTTTTATTAATACTGCCAAATAGATCTCAAGTCATTCTAAAATTTATTTCCTTTTACATTTCAAAGACTAAATAATTAAAAGTGTATAATTCCTTGGATTTAGTTTAATTTTACAAAATGGTTGGATAAAAAATATTATCACGTTATTGTTTTAAAATATGTTTTCCTGATATGCATTTTAACCTCCCTGTGACATTTATATTCTATTTATTTTTTCTTCATATTACCTGTTCATATACTTTACAGATTTCTCTACTAGACTTTTTTATAGATATATGATTCTTTTTGTATTATAGGTGATTTAAGCTGTCTGTTACATTTGTCTTAAAAACTTTTTCAGTCCATTGCTTATTTTGAAATACATCCATGGGTAATTCATGTCATGCAGACAGTTTCCAAACTACTGAATCAAACCTGTTATATTACCTTTTTGGTTTCTCAATTTTTAATGCCATAGAAAGGCCTTTCCCATTTTAAAATTATGCATATAAAAGATCATTGTGTCTCCCTAAATGTAATATAAATATTACTAAGCTGATCATTATCTTTTACTTTCAAGAATTTAATCAACCTAAAATTTCTTTTGTATATGTGTGCAGTAAGAAAGTTAATTTATCTCCCCCAGATGATTTACCATTTGACTCAATAAAATTAATGTGTTATGTGCCCTTTTACAACCATGTTTTTCCATTAAATTGCTAGTCTCTTTAAAAACCCAGTATCTCACAATTATAATTACTAATTTTTTATATTCTTACCTAGAATAAATGAAACTTCTTGGCTCTATTCTGATAAGGACATATCTTTGTCATGACACAGTTTTAATGTAAACATTTGGTCAACTTTTAAATTTATTTCTATGTTCTTAACACCTATTTGAGAATATATTATTTTAAATGATTTGTTTACAGTTTTGTGGGCATATCTAATTTTATTGCATTTTCTTTATTGTGCTTCACAAATATTATACTTTTTAGAGTTAATGGTTTGTGAGAAACCTGCGCTGAGCAAGCCTATTGTCATTTTTATAACAACATGTGCTTATTTCATGTCTCTGTCATGTTTTGGTAATTTTCATACTATTTCAAAACTTTCTATTGTTATTATATCTGTTATGATGATCTGTGATCAGTGATCTTTGATGATACTATTGTAATTGTTTTGGGGCACCAGGTGAACCACACCTGTGTGAGATGGCAAACTTAGTAGATGTTGTGTGTGTTCTGACTACTCTACCAACCAGTGGTTTCCCCATTTCTCTCCCTCTTCTTGGGCCTCCTTATTCCCTGAGGCACAACAACACTTAAATTAGGCCAATTAATAATCCTACAGCGGTTTCTAGGTGTTCAAGTGAAAAGAGGAGTTGTACATCTCTCAGTGCAAATCAAAAGCTGGAAATAATTAAGCTTAGTGAGGAAGGCAGGTCTAATGTTGAGATAGGCTGAAAGCTCAACCTCATGTACCGAACAGCCAAATTGTGAATGAAAAATAAAATTTTTGAAGAAAATTCAAAGTGCTACTTCAGTGAATACATGAATGATAAGAAAGCAAAACATCCTTATTGCTGATATGGAGAAAGTTTTAGTGGTCTGGATAGAAGATCAAACCAACCACAACGTTCCCTCAAGCCAAAGCCTAATTGTGAACAAAGACATAACTTTGTTCAATTCTGTGAAGGCTGGAAGAGGTGAGAAAGCTGCAGAGAAAAGTTGGAAGCCAGCAGAAGTTGGTTCATGAGGTTTAAGAAGCCAATTCTATAGTATAAATGTGGAAGGTGAAGCAATGAATATTGATGCAGAAGTTGCAGCAAATTATTCAGAAGCTCTAGCTAAGATACTTGATGAAGGTAGTTGCACTAAACAATGGATTTTTAATGTAGACAAAACAGCTTTCAATTAGAAGTTGCCATCTAGGATTTTTATAGTTAGAAAGGAGAAATCAATGGTTGGCTTCAAAGCTTCAAAACACAGACTGACTTCTTGTTATGGGCTAATGTAGCTGATTAGTGGAAGTAGAAGCCAATTCTCATTTACCATTCTGAAACTCCTAGGGCCCTTAAGAATTATGTTTAATTGACTCTGCACTCTATCAATGGAACAACAAATCCTGGATGACAGGACATCTGTTTACAGCATGGTTTATTGACTATTTTAAGCCCACTGTTAAGACCTACTGCTCAGAAAAAAAAAAAAAATTTCTTTCAAATACGACTGCTTATTGACAATGCACTTGGGCACTCATGAGCACTGATGGAGATGTACAAGATTAATGTTGTATTTATGCCTGCTAGCACAACAACCATGTCGCAGCCCATAAATTAAGGAATAATTTCAACTAAGTCTTATTATTTAAGAAATACGTTTTGTAAAGCACCATAGAGTGTCATTCCTCTGATGAATCTGAGTAAAGTACGTTTAAAATTTTTTGGAAAGGATTCACTGTCCTAAAAGCCATAAAAAACATTTGTGATTCATGAGAAGGGGTCAAAATATCAACATTAACAGGAGTTTGAAAGAAGTTGATTCCAACCCTCATAGGTGTCTTTGAACAGTTCAAAACTTCAGCAGAGGAAGTATCTGCAGATTTGATGAATATAGCAAGAGTAATGGAATTAGTGCACATGTACCCTGAAACTTAAAGTATAATGAAAAAAAAAAAAAAGAAGTAGAGTCTGAAGATGTGACTGAATTGCTGCAATCTCATGATGAAACTTTAATAAATGAGGAGTTGCTTCTTGTTGATGAACAAAGAAAGTAGTTTCTTGAAATGGAATCTACTCTTGTTGCAGATACTGTAAACATTGTTGCAATGACAACAAAAGATTTAGAATATTCCATAAGCTTTCTTCATAAAGCAGGCATAGGTTTGAGAGGACTGACTCCCATTTTGAAAGTTCTACTGTGGGTAAAATACTATCAAACAGCATCCCTTGCTACACAGAAATATTTCAGAAAGGAAAAGTAAATTGACGCATCAAACATCACTGTTGTCTTATTTTTAAGAAATTGCCAAAGACACGCCAAACTTCAGCAGCCACCAACATAAGTTAACAGCCATTAACTTGGAAGGAAGGACCCCACCAGGAAATGTTACGACTCACTAAAGGCTAAAATAATCATTAGCATTTTTATCAATAAAGTATTTTTTTAATTTAGATATTTACTTTTAAAAGACATAAACATATGGGACACTTAATTGCCTTTAGTGTAAACATAACTTTTATATGCATTGGAAAACCAAAAAATTTATGTGACTTGGTTTATTGTGAAATTCACTTTATTACAGTAGTCTGGAACCAAATCTGCAATAACTCCAAGGTATGCCTGTATGTTTGCCTATACATTCATGAATGTATTTATACATTGTCTTATATGGAATGACAATCAAGGCAAATTCAAAGATTGTAAAAAACAGAAAACAAAATTATAAATGAAATATATTCATAAAAATTATATTTGAGAAATAAATTATTTCATAATTGAGGCTGAAATTAATATACAATTTCTATCTACATGCTAAACTGAGACCACAGATTTGGCTTTAAGTTTCTGGGCAGCCAATAATAAAATGAGAATTTAACCAATAACCTAATTAACATAATTAAATTTTATTTATGCTGCCAGTTACCATTTACGCTGCTCAGACAGAAGCCTTTCTATATACAATAAATGAAATTCAGCCTAGAGGCTGAAAAGCTAACAAATTGGCCTCTGTAAACTCAGTGAGAGTAAGGACTGTATTTCACATATCTTTGATTCTAAAATTGTAGGCTCAAGTCCAGT